>NC_000020.11:823910-975425 GCF_000001405.40 Homo sapiens
AAATGGAAATAAAACAATGTTACTCTAGTCTAGCCTCAAGTGAAAAAAGTCAGACACAAAAGGTTACATTTATATGATTGTCTAGAAAATGCAAAACTAGAGAGAAAGAAAACAGACCACTGGTTGCCAGGGTTGGGGAGAGGGAGCTGACAATATCAAGGGGTGCAGAAACTTTTTAGGGTGATCCAAACTGTTTTTTGATGATGATGGTGGTTACAGATTGTATACATTTGCCAAAAATCACCAAAGTGTACATTCAAAGTTGGTGAGTTTTATTTTATGTATAAACCACCTCAAAAAGACAAATTTTAGAGAAGAAAACAAAGAAAAATGCCGGTTTAGCCCCAAGTCTGAGGCTTCCTCTCTGTTAAACAAATTAGCAAATAGAAGGCCAGGCATGGTGGCTCATGCCTGTAATCCCAGCACTTTGGGAGGCTGAGGCAGGAGGATCACTTGAGGTCAGGAGTTCAAGACCAGCCATGGCCAACATGGTGAAATCCTGTCTCTACAAAAAATACAAAAATTAGCTGGGCGTGGTGGCGCATGCTTGTAATTCCAGCTACTCAGGAGGCTGAGGCAGGAGAATTGCTTGAACCTGGGAGGCGGTTGCAGTGAGCCGAGATTGCACCACCGCACTCCACCCTGAGTAACAGAGCAAGAGACTCCATCTCAAAAAACAAACAAACAAACAAGGAAGAGAAAGAGGGATTTCTCTCTCTGTCTCTCACCAACTCTCTAACCCTCCCTAGTTCCATGCACCAAGGAAAAGCTATGTGAGGACATAGGAGAAGGTGGCCAGCCACAGGCCAAGAAGAGAGCCTTCACCAGGGACTGAATCAGCTGGCACCTCCATCTGGTACCTCTAGGCTCCAGAGCTGTGAGAAATAGATGTGTGCTGTTTGAGCCACATAGTCTCTGATATTTTGTTTTGGCAGCCGGAGCAGACTCATGCCCTCTGATCTCATCATTAGCATAATGCCTGTTTATAGAACCATGCTGTGGGCAGGCTCTGTGCTAAAAGCTTTGCCAGCATCATTTCAGAGACTTGATGTGACATCTTACATCGTAGGGGAAATTATTGTTCCCATTAAAGATGGGCCCACAGTGTGGCTAAGCCAGTGGGGCATGTCCTCAGACCTGGAGTGCTCCCATAGGAAGCTGGGCCCGATTCTTTCTGAAGGTGTGAGCTGGAGGCAGTGATGGTGGTTTGAGAGGCACGGGCTGTGGGGAACTGGATACTGAGGGCAGTCCCTGTGTCCCAGGGGAAGCACTCTGTGCTTTCAAGGGGGGCACTGGCAGAGAAGGAAGTGTCCCTCATCACATCCTGGAGACCCACCCTCTGGAGACAGTGTTTTCACGATTTCTTTTCTTTCTTTTTTTTTTCAGACAGGGTCTCACTCTGTCACCCAGGCTAGAGTGCAGTGGCACGATCTCAGCTCACTGCAACCTCTGCCTTCTAGGTTCAAGTAATTCTCCTACCTCAGCCTCCTGAGTAGCTGGGATTACAGGCACCCGCCACCACGCCCAGCTCATTTTTATTTTTTTATTTTTCGTAGAGACAGGGTTTCACCACGTTGGCCAGGCTGGTGTCAAACTCCTGACCTCAAATGATCTGCTTGCTTTGGCCTCCCAAAGTGCTGGGATTACAGGCATGAGCCATCATGCCTGGCCATGTTTTCACTATTTCTATGGACCGTTTCATAAGTGTTGTGTGGACATAGGGCTCCAGGGTTAAATGTGTTTGGGAAATGTGGTGTAAGCAAAGAGAAAGAAGTTTCCACTCTAATACTTCTCAGAGACTTTAATGTGGAGATAGGCATGGCGAATCTCTCACTGCGGGACAAGTGGGCAAGAGAAGTGTGGATGCTGCCTTCTGGGCACTCACAGTTGGTGGAGGAGACAGCCAACATGCAAGCAGGGGCCACACCACATGTCTGGAGGTTGGAACGCTATGCAGAGAGACCACAGGAACCATGGGGGAAGTGGGGAGGGATTTCCCAGAGGAGATGACATTTGAACAAAGATGCAAAGGAAGTGTGGAAGGAGGTAAGGGAGAGCTGTATGACTGTCTGGGGGAAGAGAAACCCAAGCAGAGGGAACAGCAAGCACAAAGGTTCTGAGGCTCAAGGTTGCTTGGTGCATTTGACAAGCAGACCAGCGCCATTGGCTGGAGCTAGCTGGGCCGAGTGGGAGGGTGATAATGGATGAGGTTGACCACGGTCCGCTCCCAAAGGCCATGGAATTCAGAGCATACTGGAGAGCCCTTAGTGGGTTTGGACAGACAGTGATACCTTGGGACACACAGCCTCATGAGCTCATACTGACCAAACAAACCACCCAAAATAGCAGCAGAAACAACAGCCACAGGGTGCAGAGGGTCATTCAGGGTGCCTCTCACAAGCCTGGGAAGTAGGCATGTGATATGGTTTGGCTGTGTCCCCACCCAAATCTCATCTTGTTTTGTAACTGCTTCAATTCCCATGTGTCGTGGGAGGAACCCGGTAGGGGGTGATTGAACTGTGGGGGCAGGTCTTTCCTGCGCTGTTCTTGTGATAGTGAAAATGGGTCTCACGAGATCTGATGGTTATAAAAATCGGAGTTTCCCTGCACAGGCTCTCTTTTTTGCCTGCCGCCATCCACGTAAGATGTGACTTACTCCTCCTTGCCTTCGGTCATGATTGTGAGGCCTCCACAGCCTTGTGGAAGTCCATTAAACTTCTTTCATTTGTAAATTGCCCAGTCTCGGGTATGTTTTTATCAACAGCGTGAAAACGAACTAATACAGCACGGTTAACTCCCATTTTACAGGCGAGGAAGCTGAAGCTTAGAAAGATGAAAGAATTTGCTTGTGACCCCGAACGTTCCCTCTGGCTGATGCATTGTTCCTACCTGCTCTGTTTCCTTGTTTATGAAGCTTGCAGGCTCCATGGTCCTCAACCCTGGCTGCTACACACTGGAATAACCTGGGGTGGCAGACTGTGTCTCCCCAGGATGGCCACACCAATACATCTCACATCCCACATGCTTGGCCAATAGCATATGACAGATGTGACTGTGGGTTACTTCTAAAGCTAGGCCATAATAGCCATCGCAACCCCACCGTGATCTCTGGGATTGCTAGTTCTGAGGGAAGCCAGCTGCCATGTCCTGAGGTTACTCAAGAAGCCCTGTGGAGTAGGCCATTTGGGGAGGGACTGAGGCCCCCAGGCAACATCTGTCCCAACTTGCCAGTCATGTTAGTGAACTACCCTTGTCCAGCCTTCAGATGACACCTCATGAGAGGCCCTGAGAGAGTCTTATTGTCCCGTTCACCATTCCTGTTGCCCTGTGGCCAGCTAATCAGCTTGTGGTGGTTTTCATTTCTTTTTTCTTTTTGCCATTAATAGCAATGCCAGGCTGGGCTCAGTGGCTCATGCCTGTAATCCCAGCACTTTGGGAGGCCGAGGTGGGTGGATCACCTGAGGTCAGAAGTTTGAGACAAGCCTGGCTAACATGGTGAAACCCTGTCTCTATTAAAAATACAAAAATTAGCCAGGTGTGATGGTGTGCGCCTGTAATCCTAGCTACTTCTCCCAAGTAGAAGGGCGTGATTCTTCTCATGCCTCATGCTGAGGCATGAGAATCACTTGAACCCGGGAGGCTGAGGCTGCAGTGAGCGGTGTTTGTGCCACTGCACTTCAGCCTGGGCGACAGAGTGAGACTATCTCAAAAAAAAAAAAAAAAGTAGCAATGCCATAGTAAGTATTCTTCTAATTAAGCCCTTCTGAATCAGCTTAATTATTTGCTTAGGGTCAATTTCTAAATGCACAGTTGCTGGATCAGAGTACAAGTCCACTGATACAGCATTTAATTTTTTCAAAGAATTGTGACTGGGCCGGGCACGGTGGCTCATGCCTATAATCCCAGCACTTTGGGAGGCCAAGGCGGGCGGATCACCTGAGGTTGGGAGTTGGAGACCAGTCTGACCAACATGGAGAAACCCCGTCTCTACTAAAAATACAAAATTAGCTGGGCATGGTGGTGCATGCGTGTAATCCCAGCTACACGGGAGGCTGAGGCAGGAGAATTGCTTGAACCCGGGAGGCAGAGGTTGCGGTGAGCTGAGAGGGTGCCAGCTTGGGCAACAAGAGTGAAACTCCGTCTCAAAAAGAAAAAAAAAAAAAAAAGAATGTGACTATAGCTGGCCGTGGTGGCTCATGCCTGTAATCCCAGCACTGTGGGAGGCAAGATGGTCAGATTGCTTGAGTCAAGGAGTTTCAGACCAGCCTGGGAAACATGGCAAAACCCTGTCTCTACAGAAAAATTAGCTGCGCATGGGGGCAGACACCTGTAGTCCCAGCTACGTGGGAGGCTGAGGTGGGAGCATCACCTGAGCCTGGGAAGTCGAGGCTGTAGTGAGCTGTGTTTGCACCACCGCACTCCAGCCTGGGCAACAGAGTGAGGCCTTGTCTCAAAAAAATTTAAAAAATAAATAAATGTAACTATATTCTCCTTCAGTAGCAACATCTCAATTTACCTTCTCATGCACAGTGTTTGGAAGGACATATTTTGGGATGAGTTTTCTTTTACTTCACTACCTTATTTTGTTCTTTCATAGAATGCCTTTAAAATGTTACTTTAAAAAAATAGATAATACCTTTACAAGGTACAAAATCCAAAAGGTATAAAAATGTTTTCTTTTTTTTTTTGGAGACAGAGTTTCGCTCTTGTCGCCCAGGCTGGAGTGCAATGGTGCGATCTTGGCTCGCTGAAACCTCCGCCTCCCGGGTTTAGGTGATTCTCCTGCCTCAGCCTCCTGAGTAGCTGGAATTACAGGTGCCCACCACCATGCCCTGCTAATTTTTGTATTATTAGTAGAGATGGGGTTTCACCATGTTGGCCAGGCTGGTTTTGACCTCCTGACTTCAGGTGATCCACCCACCTTGGCCTCCCAAAGTACTGGGATCACAGGCATAAGCCACCACGCCCGGCCAAAAATATTTTATAAAAGTCTTTCCCCCACCCCTTTCCCCTCAGTCAGCACAAGTAGCCACCACTGGGACCAGTTTCTGGTGGATAAATCCAGAAAAGTTCAGGTGCAAGTAAACACACATAGAGAGAACACCCTTTAAATTAAATGAAACTAAAGAAAACAGAGCCATAGGTGCACAGGAGACAGAGAGCTGACATCTGGGGCTGATTGCATCTTGGTTTCGAGCTGAGTGGCAAAAATACTGCTAAGGTCAACGTTCTGAAGGAGGCAAAACCCACACGCAGAACCAGCCATAGGCCTGTCAACAAGGCGAGATGTTATCATTGCTCATGTGCTGGGTCAGGATAAGGCCATACAGACCGCCCAGTTCTCTCTGATCTGGGTGTAGTTAATGACAGTTTATCCGCCTTTTTCTTCTCTCTCACCACTCCCCATGGTGGGGGAGGAGAAGGACTGGGAGGACTTGAATACTCTGAATTGGCACCAGGTGCTTAATATAGTCCTGAAAATAGAAGACCAATATGCTGTTGGCACATAAAGATGCCCACAATTCTAGAATCTGAGTGCGCCCAGATGATCTCTCTTTACATGGCCTAATTTGGGATCCTGACAAGTTCCTTCTGCCCTCTGCCTCACTTTCTCAATCTAGGAATGGGCCTCTCGGTTTTTGTTTTGTCTAATTTTAAGCTCTCGGCTGTGCATGGCAGAGGCAAACTTGAAGACGCAAGGGTCAGTGAGCAGGGCCTTTATCCAGGTATCTCAAATATCTCCCAACCCTGATTAAAGTTACATATCTCAGAGAAGAATTTGGTCAACACCATTGTTGTCATTCCTGGTTAATAACAGGGAAGTTGAGGTCTGGGAAGCACCCTAGTGATGTGTTCACATGGCCATGTGCTTCTGTAAAATTTACCAATGTAAGGCATCTTAACCTCATTCTGTTAAAACCACTATCTCCTTTCATTCCAACTTCCCTTTGCATCAGATGATGTTGGGGTTGGTGTGAGCAGTTTGGGCATCTTGCTAAAAGGACCTTAACATTTACTTTGGGTTTAGTGGGATATATTTATATTGTTTCCAGTCACTTTTGTGAAAAATTATTACTAACTGACCTGGTATTGAAATGGCTTCCAGGAATATATCCATACCGAGCATACTGAGCTGACTCAACTTGTCGTGGCATCAAGATTCAGGATCAGAGGTTATATCTCAAGATATATGAATGGTCCTACAGCACTCAGTTCCACAAGACTGTGAAGGAGAGGTTTGAATGTATACACGGAGCCAGCAGCTAGTTTATGGAAAGTATTACAGATGTGTTTGAGACAGGCAGCTAATAAAAAGAATGTTATTTTTCTGCGTTTTGTAACGTTTGTGCAATTTCTCTTTTTTTTTTTTTTTTTTTTGGAGACAAGGTCTTGCTCTGTCATCTAGGCTGGAATGCAGTGGTGAAATCATGGCTTACTGCAGCCTCAACCTCCTGGTCTCAAGCAATCCTCCCTCTCAGCCTCCTGAGTAGCTGGGACTATAGGCACGTGCCACCATGCCTGACTAATTTCTTTTTTCCTTTTTTTTTTTTTTTTTTGAGACGGAGTCTCACTGTCGTCCAGCTTGGAGTGCAGTGGCACAATCTTGACTCACTGCAACCTCTGCCTCCCAGATTCAAGTGATTCTCCTGGCTGAGCCTCCCAAGTAGCTGGGATTACAGGTGCCCACTACCACGTCCAGCTAATTTTTTGTATTTTTAGTAGAGATGAGGTTCTGCCATGTTGTCTAGATTGGTCTCAAACTCCTGAGCTCAGGTGATCCACCAGCCTCGGCCTCCCAAAGTGCTAGGATTACAGGTATGAGCCACCATGCCTGGCCAGCTAATTTCTTTTTAAAATTTTTTTGTAGAGCTGGGGATCTCGCTTTGTTGCCCAGGCTGGTCTGAAGCCCCTGGGCTCAGGCACTCCTTCCACCTCGACCTCCCAAAGTGGTGGGATTACAGGCATGAGCCACCTTATTGTGGTTTCTTGTCTCTTTCTAACCAAATCTTCACTTTATTACTTAATTTCATATCTGTAATTTTTTCTTAAAGAGGTCTCCCTAGGGCTGGACGTGGTGGCTCACGCCTGTAATCCCAGCACTTTGGGAGGCCGAGGTGGGTGGATCGCCTGAGGTCAGGAGTTCAAGACCAGCCTGACCAACATACTGAAACCCTGTCTCTACTAAAAATACAAAAAATTAGCGGGTATGGTGGCGGGCACCTGTAATCCCAGCTACTCAGGAGGCTAAGACAGGAAAATCACTTGAACTTGGGAGGCAGAGGTTGCAGGGAGCTGAGATCGTGCCATTGCATTCCAGCCTGGGCGATAAGAGTGAAACTCTGTCTCAAAAAAAAAAAAAAAAAAAAAAAAAGAAGTCTCCCTAGGCTGAAGCTACCTGCTCAATCTTCTCTTGTGTCTTATAGGATCACAGGATCCCCCTTGCCTTACCTCACTGTTACTCCCAAACAGTTCTCACATGTTTACAAGGGAATGTAACAGAGTGGATCAGAGAATTCATTCTGGATCCAGACCGACCTTAGTTTTCTCATCTATATAATGGGAATAATAGCAGGATCTCTCGCCTTAGATAGTCATGAAGTCCAATGAGATGATGTGTATAAAGCCCTAACACAATGTAGCAGAGGGCACAGGGCCAGGATTGATATTTAGCTGGTCCTCACGGATACAGCAGACTCCCTGTTTATGACAGTGGTTGGCTCTGATTTGGTTGGTGTCCATGCCAGAGTGTACAATCATTATTAGCTATTGATATATTATTAGCTCCCTCCCCTGCCCACCCAGGGGTTTACGCAGTAAGTTCTCAATTATTGGCAATCCAAACAAAGAATAAAAGACACCAGCTGGAATGAAACAGAGAAGCTGGTTCCAAATTGAGCAATTCAGACTGACTGCTATAAAATTTCCTCACCTTAAAGGCCCTTAGAGTTAATTCATTCTAATCCCCCTAAAAATATACTTTTTTGACATGTTCAAGTATTGGAAATTTGGAAAATTCACAAAAACACAAAGAAGAAATTAACTGCTGTGATTATAGATGATTATACACATATACATATGTATTTAATACATATTTATGCTGTACATAGTGTTTTGAAGCATACTGTACTTCAAAAAAATTTGGGAGGGGTGCATTGGCTTATGCCTGTAATCCTAGAAATTCAGGAGGCCAAAGCAGGAGGATCACTTGAGGCCAGGAGTTCTAGACTGGCCTGGGGCAACATAGCGAGACCCGTAGCTTGACATGGTGATGCGGGCCTGTAGTCTTAGTTACTCTGGAGGCTGAGGTGTGAGGATTGCTTCAACCTAGGTTACAGTGAGCTATGATTGCACCACTGCACTCCACCCTGGGCAACAGAGCTAGACCCTGTCTCTAAAAAACATAAATAAACCAATGTTTAATACTTAGCATTTCCCCCTATCTTTAAATATCTTCTAGCTACTTCACTTTTATTTTTATCTTTTTGAGATGATCTCTTGCCCAGGTTGGGGTGCAGTGGCATGATCTCAGCTTACTGCATCCCCCACATCCCAGGTTCAATCTATTCTCCTGCCTCAGCCTCCTGAGTAGCTGGGATTACAGGCATGTGGCACCACGCCTGGCTAATTTTTGTATTTTTAGTAGAGACGAGGTTTCACCACGTTGGCCAGGCTGGTCTTGAACTCCTGACTTCAGGTGATCTGGTCGCCTCAGCCTCCCAAAGTGCTGGGATTACAGGTGTGAGCCACTGCTCCTGGTAGCTACTTCACTTTTAATGGCTGCATAATATTCCTCATCAGAAAGTGGGAAAAATTAGGCTAGGTGGCGTGGCTCATGCCTGTAATCCTAGTACTTTGGGAGGCTGAGTTGGTAGAATTGCTAGAGCTCAGGAGTTTAAGATCAGTCTGGGCAACATGGCAAAACCCCATCCCTACAAAAAATACAGAAAATACCGGGTGTGGTGGTGCACACCTGTAGTCCCAGCTACTTGGGAGGCTGAGGTGGGAAGATTGCTTGACCCCAGGAGATTGAGGCTGCTGTGAGCTGAGATCCTGCCACTGCACTCCAGCCTGGGCGACAGAGTGAGACTCCATCTCAAAAAAAAAAAAAAAAAAAGAAAAGAAAAAGATAAAGAAATAAATAAAGTGTTAATAATTAAAAGTACTTTTAGAGGGTTATGTCATAAGCCTTGACAAGACTTGTTCTGTAAAGCTACCCGGCATGCAAAAAGCTCAATTAAGTTAGCTCCTCCACAGGATGGAATTATATAACCAATCCCTTTCAAGAGGCATTGAAGTTGTTTCCATTATTTTGCTATGATGAATAAGGCTGAGCAATATTAATCTTTGCTCATATCTTTGGTCATTTCCTTTGTAAATTTCGGGACTGCTGGGTATGCACATTTTAAAATTAACTCACTCATCATCATGCAGTTAGGAGAACAGAGAAAGGAAGGGGCTTGCACCGGGTCACATAGGGAGTTAGCGTCAAAGTCAGGACTAGGAACCAGCCAGGGCCCTCTAACTGGAGCTCTTCCAGCTGGGGTCCTAGAGGAAGTCCCAGCTGGCCGCGGGAGGGAGGAGGAGGAAGGGAAAGAACCAGGCGCCGGGGCTGAAGCGGCGGCAGGAAGAAGGTGGGGCCGGCTGGGAGGAGCGGGCGGAGCTGCTGAGCAGCGCCTCTCCTTCGGGCGGGGGAAGCTAAGCGGTCGCCTGGCAACCCTGGCGGCGCGCCGTTCGAACGGAAGCGAGGAACCAATCAGGAAGTCCGGGGCGAACCATTCTGGTGTGAAGGGGGGCGGCGTGCTCACTTCCCCTTCCACGGCGCCCCAGGGACTTTCCCTGCGGTGGGGGCCTTCGACAGTGAGGGCCACCCGCTCAGCTCGACCGCGGAGGGCAGCTCCAAAGGGGACCCCAAAGGTGCCCACGCGGGGCTGGGGCCTCCTGGGCGTCGTTGGGAGCGGCCACTACCGGCCCGGGTCCGAGCTGTCAGCCTCTCCAAAGCCTGCGCGAGAGGAGCCGGGACACGCCTAGCGCGGGCTCCAGGTGAGGGCGCGGGTGGGTCCGGGTGCGACCCCGGGTCTGGGGGCCCCGTTCCCCGAGCGTCTGCTGTCTGCTTTCTCCCCGCGTCGTACCTGCGTGTCATTTCACAGATGAGGACTCTGAGGCTCAGAGAGGCAAGTGTCCCGGCCCGGCGAGCTCTGGCGGAGAATCCAGTTCAAGTCTTTCTGCCCCACCTCGCAGCCCCCTAGTCTAGTCACATCTGGACTTGCCTTGAGAGGCCCAGACGGGCAACTGGTAGTCATTTTCCCAGCGTTTTATCGGCAGGGACCTGTAGACCCCTGGCTGGATCACATATCCCCGCGCCCCACACTGTCCTCGGGATACCCCCTTTGGGCGTCTGTCTTTCCTTCTCCGCAGTCCGGGGTTGGACTCGGCTCATTTGGCGCCTTTCTGTCTACGGGGACAGAGGACCACTCTTTGGGGATCGGACGGGACTGACATTTCTGGGCTGGATGCAGGGGCAGCAGATTCTCCAGCCCCCAGAGCCGCTGCTGGCCTCTTGGGAATCATCCCCAGTTTGGGGAAGGGAATAGAGCCAGTCCCTAAACCAAAGCCACTAGTCACCAGAGACTTTGGAATTGGGAGTGGGGCCGGAATCCCCCCAGGTGGAGCAGCTGACCTAGGCCAGACCCTGCTGTGTCTCCTGGGGACACCCCCTGCCCCCTAGGTTGCTATTGTCAGTCTCCTTTTGTAGGTGGGGAAACGGAGGTTCTAAGAAGTTAAGCCCCTTTTCGAAGTCACAGTCAGACAATGCAGTGGTTAGCTCCTAGTCCCTCTGGCTTCAATCTTAGAATCCTTGACACACAGAATCATGCATTTTGAGAGTCTTCAATCTCTTCATAAGGGAGTTACATATCCTCTCTCCTCTGGAGCCTGCCCCTGGCTTTGGGGGACAGGATCTCCGAGGACTCAGAAAGAAAACAAGGCTTTCTTTTATTCTTTCAACAAATATTATTTATTGACTTCATAAGCCCTGCTCTGGTTCTTGCATGTTTTGGTTTTTTTACTTATTAGCAAATGTATCATCTTCTCCCACTGTGATGCAAGGCAGGGGCTGAGGCAATTGAGCCAGTGCAAAATTTAGGGATGCCCAAAACCTCAGTAATCAAGACTGAAACTAACGTTCATGGACCATTTGTGTGTTCTGCAGGCAGGAGGTTAACTCACACAGCCTTCATGAAGTGCAGTCCTCCCATCTCTCTCTCTCTCTCTCTCTCTCTCTCTCTCTCTCTATATATATATATACACACACACATATATACACACACACATATATGTATATATATGTATGTGTGTATATATGTATATATGTGTATATATATGCATATTTATAAATCATGAAACCACTGCCCTGTCCCTGAGTTGCTCTGTGACATTGAGTAAGTTTCTTCAGTCTCTGGGCTGAGCTAAGAAGTCATGATGGTGCACTCAGGCCTGGGCAGAGGGCAGTCTAGGATAGGAAGTGGGCTTGGCTGTGGATCTGCCTCCCCCTCCCCTTTCTAATCCTGCGTGCCAGGCCCTTCCCCAAGACCTTGCATGTGTTATCTTCCATTCTGTCCTCACTGCAAAATCCTTCATCCCCATTTTGCAACCTCAAGTGCAGACCTAGGCCTAGAAGATCAACTTGGTATCAGTGGGCCTAGATGTCCACATCCACACCCATTCCACAGCCTACTCCCTTCTCCCTTCCTAATGTTAGTGCAAGGCCACCCTGAGCAAGGCTGACTCCTGGGCAGGCCAGGGCACCAGCGTCTGGGAGGCCTCCAGAAATAGCTCAGGGCCTGGTGTGGCTCTGGAGGTGGCCCAGCTGGGTGTCCCTGACCTGGACAGCTGGGCTGAAATTGAGCTGGGGCTGCCCTGCTGGCTGGCCCCTTGCCACTGCCTGGAGCCTTCCCAATCTCCTCTGGGGCAGGCAAGGGCCTCCCCAAATCTAGGCCAGGCTTCTGCTGAAGGGAAAGAAAGAAGCAGGTGGGAGGAAGGGGGCGGGTTGGGTGTAGAATGTCATGAAAATTATAACCTTTGGAAACCACACCTCCCACCCCCTCACCAAAGAATAAAAATCACTAACACCTCTTGAGCATTTACTATGTTCTAAGTACTTTACAAGTATGAACTCATTTAATTCCCTCAACTCTGTGATATAAGGTAATTACTGCTGTTCTTATTTCCATCTTGCAGAGGGGAAACTGAGCACAAGAGAGGTTTAATAATTTGCATAAGATAACCTAGAGGTGGAGTTTGAACCCAGAGAGTCTGGCTCTAAATTTTACATTTTTTGGGGGGGGGGGTGGGGTGGGGCAGTGAATGAATTAAAATGTATATAAAATAAAATTTACCATTGTAACCACTTTTAAGTATACAGTTCAGTGGCATTAAGTACATTCCCCATTGCCTCTCCCCCCAGTGCCTGGCAATCACCATTCTACTTTCTGTTTGAGTGAATTTGACTACTTTGGGTACCTCTAGGTATTATAAATGGAATCATAACAGTATTTGTCTTGTTGTGTCTGGCTTATTTCACTTAGCATAATGCCTTTAAGTTTCACCCATGTTGTTGTATGTGTTAGAATTTTCTTTTTTATGGCGGAATAATCTATTCTAATATTCTATGTATATGCCACATTCTGTTTATCCATTCATTCCTTGATGGACACTTGGATTGCTTTTGGCTGTTGTGACTAATGCTGCTTTGAGCATGAATGTACAAATATCTGTTTGAGTTCCTGTTTTTAATTGTTTTGGGTATACACTCAGAAGTGGAATTGCTGGGTGATCCTATGGCAATTCTGTTTAATTTTTTGAGGAACTACTTTACTGTGTTTCACAGTGACTGCACCATTTTATGTGTCCATCAGCAGTGCACAAAGTGCTAATTTCTCAACATCTTCACCAACACTTGTTATTTTCTGTTTGTATTTTTTTTTTGGTAATGGCCATCTTCAGGGGTGTGATGTGGTGTCTCATTGTGGTTTTAATTTACATTTCCCTAATGACTAATGGTGTTGAGCATCTTTTCCTGTGCCTGTTGGCCATTTGTTATCTTTGGAGAAATGTCTGTTCAAGTGACTCTGCATTGTTTTTTTTTTTTTTTTTTTTTTTTGAGACAAGAGTTTCGCTCTGTCGCCCAGGCTGGAGTGCAGTGGCGCCATCTCGGCTCACTGCAACCTCTGTGTCCCGGGTTCAAATGATTCTCCTGCTTCAGCCTCCTGAGTAGCTGGGATTATAGGCCCCCGCCACCATGCTGGGCTAATTTTTATATTTTTAGTAGAGACGGGGTTTCATCATCTTGGCCAGTCTGGTCTTGAACTCCTGACCTTGTGAACCACCTGCCTCAGCCTCCAAAGTGCTGGGATTACAGGCTTGAGCCACTGCACCCAGTCATGACTCTGCATTCTTAACCATTACCTGTGCTTCTCTTAGATTTGTAACCTCTGAGAATAGTGGATCAGCTTTCTGGGCTGATGAAGCCCTCCCTCAGGAGCTGGGCACTGGATGATCTATTTGGTTGAATAGTTATCATAGCCTGCACTTTGGTGACATTTGTCATGCATGGACCTCATGCAGAGAGGGAGGCACTGTTGTGAGTCCTGTTTTGCAGTTAGGGAAACTGAGATATGGAGAAGTTGAGTATTTTATCCAAGGTCTCATAGCTAATCATTGGTGGAGCTAGGATTTGAATGGGTTCTGGAGTCCATGCTATACCTTACAGATATGGCCAGGGGGATGGAGTAGTGAAGACCACTGCAGGCAGCAGAACCAGTGTGTGCAGAGGTTTGTATATGGTGGCTTTGGAGAAAGAACAGGACTTGGGTAGAAGTGGTCAGAGCCCAGCTTGAATGGGGGTGACTTGAAGTTGGAGGAAGAGTAGGACAGGTCTGGAAAGGCCAGGAGCACGGTGAGGGTTTGGGGAGGAGGCTTGGTGCTTAGGGACCCTGTCCTTTTTTTTTTTTCTCTTCTCACAAGATATTTATTAATTACAAAGGGAAAATAATAACTGTACAGTGGAGAAATTTGGCAGATACTGCCTTAACCAAGGAATTGGCTGATCACTAAGATTAAGACAAACTGTTGTTATGAGTGGGTGTGGTAATGTACCTATAGTCCCAGCCACTCAGGAGGCTGAGGTGGCAGGATTGCTTCAGCCCATCTATTTGAGGCTGCAGTGAGCTATGGAGTGCACTCCAACCTGGGCAACACAGTGAGACCTCATTTCTAAAAAAAGAAAAAAGAAGCCTTCTGATACCATGTACTAAGAAGGACACAACATCACTTTTGTGTTATTCTTGACAGATATGTTTAACTTTCTCTCCTTTCTTTCTTCCTCTCTTTCTTTCTTCTCTCTTTCTTACTGATATAAGAAAAAGCTTTATACATTTAATATATACCTCTTGATGAGTGGCCTTGGCCTTTGAGGTGGGCTGGGTCCAGAACAGCCGGTTGTTCAACGGTATTTCCTCGTGTTTGGTCCCTGAAGGAAGAAAATTGGAAGGGTGTGATGGAGCTCATGGTCCAGTGGGAGAGACAGGAAACGAGTTATATTTCCTATCCTAGATAAGAGTATCTAAAATGACAGGATGTAATGAGTGCTCGGAAGGGAATAAAATGGGTGAAATTGCTGAGGGGGTCTCTTGGAGGAGATGACATTTGAAATGAGATCTGAAGGGGGTGAGGGAAGAGGTTCCAGACAGAGAACAGCTGGTGCAAAAGCCCTGAGGCAGGAAAGACCTTATGTTCAGGAACAGCAGGGAGGGCTTTGTGGCCAGAGCAGGAAAGAGGTTGGAGATAAGATGGGAGATTTGGACAAGGACTGAGTCCTGGAAGGCCTGAGGGCCAAGTGGGGAGCTTGGATTTTTTTTTTTTTTTTTTTTGAGACAGAGTCTTGCTCTGTTGTCCAGGCTGGAGTGCAGTGGCTCAATCTCAGCTCACTGCAGGGAGCTTGGATTTTATTGTAAGGGAGCCACAGGAGGGTTTAAACACAGCAGTAATGAGACTTTATTTCTGCTGGGAAAACATTGCCGTTATTGCCCCCATTTTACAGCAGAGGAAACCGAGACTCAGAACCATGACCAGGGAGTGCTTCCTAAGGTGGTTTCTCCCTCTGGGGTCCAGCCGACGAGGCAGTAGATTCCTTGGGACTTCCTTGGGGGGCACATCTGGTGAGTGGCCAAAGCCCAACACTGAAAACACCGTCTCTTCCACCTCCCCTCCCCAGATGTGAGCCTGGGTTCCAATCCTGGCTCTACCATTAATCAGCTGTGTAATTTTGGGCACGTGGCCTTACCTCTTGGAGCCTCAGTTTTCTCATCTGAAAATGGGCATAATAATAGTAGCCCTCACAGGGTAGGTGTGAGGATTAAATTAGTTAACATTTTGTAGAGCTTAGAACAGTGTCTGGTACAAAGAAAGTGCTCAGATGAGATTTGTTCTTTTCTTTTTTGGCTGTAAGTTTATTCAATGTGAAATAATCCTCTCCAATTTTATTGAGGTGGCTGACCACGTCCACGACCACATCTGCCTCTAAACTGGAATTCGGTTGCTGACCCAGCCCCAGCCTCGGCTTTCTTGTCAGCACCAGGGGGCACAGAACACCGTCTGTAGGTATCTCTGTCAGCTTCCCGTCTTGTGAGTCTTGCAGGTCGCTTACCCTCCAGACCTTTAGGCCGAGGCCTGCCAGTCTCTGGACGGCTGCGGTGTAGGGTGGCAGGAACAATCTCCGGGGGCAGATGTAGGGTGGCAGGAACAATCTCTGGGGGCAGATGAAGGTAATCACGGAGATACTGGCTACCCTCATTGGTAAGGTACCAGTAGAAATGTCTCCAGGCAAACTGTTCCTTCACGCAGCCCCGGGACTTGAGAGACTGCATGGCCTTCATGACGTGAAGGTTGGGCACATTCTTGTCTGCCAGCTCCGGGTGCTTAGGCATGTGGACATCCTTCTTGGCCACCATGACTCCCTCCTTAAAAAGGAGTTCATGAATGGCAATCCGGTTCTTCTTAGGCATCAGCATCTTGGCAGCTGTAGGGTCCGGGGCTGGGGCTGGAAAGGAAGGACTGTTCTTTTCTTTGCTATTACGAAAATCATTATTGTTGCTTTGCTGTTACTACTATTAGCGCCTGAAGGAGCCTTCCCTCCCCATCCCCCATTTCTGCCTCCGTGGAGGGCTAGGCAGGGCTCAGCAGGCCATTTGGAGGATGAAGGACTTGTTGCCCCGTCCCCTGTAAAGTCAGGGACTGGAGGAGGCTGCAGTGCTGAGGGGGAAGGAAAGCTGATGTGCATCACTGCCGGTCTCCTCATGCCCTGTACCCTAGTCCTGGCCCAGCTCCCACAGGCACAGACATGGAACAGGAGCCTCTTCAGCCTGAGTGTGGCAGAGGGCTGGGGCTGAGGCCTGGGGGACAGCTCCTTCTCTGGGCCTCAGGATTCCCATGAAAAAATGGCCTATCAAATGTTCCTACCTGCAGTGAGTTATAGGACTTGGGGTGGAAGAGGTGACAGTCACCTCCCTCTGGGAATTCCTTCCTGCAGGGCTGCAGTCTCATGGGATTAAATGAGGGGGCTCTGGGGATTTAAATGAGTATGGTGCCTGGCACCCCAAAATTCTAGTTATTGTTGTTACTATGACGGCTGTTGTTGCCGATGTTAACCGTTTTCACAAGGCAGCTGAGGCATGCTCAGGCTCAGCCTGTTCCAGAGGGATGGACTCTACACGTGACAGCATGGAGCACCAGGAGGGTCCCGCAGCCTGGTCAGGGACACACAGCTAGAAAGTGGTGGCGTTAAGCCTTGGTCTGGAGGGAAAGTGCGCAGGCTGGACTCCCCAGAGTGATTTTGGGCTAGTGACTCAGCCTCTCTCAGCCTCAGTTTACCATTAGTCAAATGGGGTAACAATAGAACTCACCAGATAGTGATTGTTGGGAAGATTAAAATGGGTTACCCGATACCAAGAAAAACACTTTCCCGTGCCTGGCACAGTGAACATCACCTGGCGGTCGTTCTGAGTGTCAGGGAGCGGGGCTCAGTTTGTCCATCTCTAAGGTGGGTGCGCTTGCCTGCCAGAGCCACGGGGACCCCGCGCGCCAGGTGTGCGGTGGGCGGGTCTCGGCTCCCGGAAGAACTTCCCTGGGTGGTCCTGGAGCGGGTCGGACCCAGTTCCTGAGCCAGGCCAGCTGCCGGCGGCCGGGGCTCGGGTTCTGGCCCCTGCCTGGCTTTCCTTACCCTTTTCGGGTAGTACCTGGACCAGCGGGTTCACTTGCCCGCGGCCGCCGGAAGTTGCGCAAACTCAGCTTGCCGGAGCCCCAGGTGGGCCGGGCCGGAGGAGCGCAGGCCAGCGGCGCGGGCGCAGCCGGGTACGTGCGGACCGCGGCGGGGGGCGCCCAGCCGGGGTAGGGGGCGGCCCGAGCACCCCTCCACCCCAGGACGGCGGGAACGGGGCAGGGATCTACCTTTCGGCTTCAAGAGGACCGCGGGGATGGTGCCGCTCTCTCCCTCATTTGAGAGCCAGGAGGGGCGGCGAGGGGCAAGGGTCACACAGCGCCCTGCTAGCCGACCCCCCATCCCCCGCCACCGGGAGTCCTCAAGCTTTTCCGGAATTGAGGGAGAGCAAAAGCCAGCCTGGGGATCTGAGTTCCCCCCAGCCCTGCCCCGCGGCCTCTGGAGGCTGACGCTGGGGAGCTAGTGGGGAGGGGGCCAGGTGGGGATGCGCGCCCCCGGGATGCAAGCCAGAAGGGCCGGCGGTTGGGGGCATCCGTGGGAGGCATTTGAATCCGTGGGTGGGGCATTGGGCGGTGAGAGGAGGCCTCAGAGGGGACATTGAGTCGCGCTTGGGGACTTGGGACCCTGGCTTCACCTGGCGGGAGCCGCTGCACCTCCGTTTGCCCACCCGTGACGTGGGGCTGTTGAGGTCAGCTCACCGATCAGCCTCTGTCTTGGGCCTGCTTTGTCCGCGGTGTGGGCTGGGACAGACCCTCGTGGGGCTTGCTTAGAGACCCCTGCGTGGGGGTGGTCTGTGGACTTGGTTAGTCGAAATCTTCTTGAAGACCAGGAGCCTGGTTCGTGGCTCCGCCTTTTTGCCAGATGCCGAGGAAAGCCCTCGACCTGTTTGATCTCTCCATCCTTATCGTGACCTGGAGGCTCAGGAAGGTCTATTTTTAACCTCGTTTCACGGATAAGGTAACCGAGTCTGTAAAGAGGCGAAGCTGCTTGCGCAAGGCGCACAGCGGGCGGGTGGGCGAGCCGAAGGCCGGCGGGCCCGCGGCGCCAAACCCGGGGTTGGCTCTCGCATCTGTCCCGGCCCCGCCAGAGGGGACCTCAGGGCCAGCAGATGGGGCCAGAGGGGCTGGGGGCCCGATCGGGGTCGTGCACGGGGTTTCTGCCCCGGCCCCGCCCGTCTGACCTCCTTCTCCCTCTTTATCCGGATGGTGCCCGCAAGGGAACTGCCACTGCGGACGGGTTGGACTGGTTTGGGAGGTGGCGGCCTGGGGGTGGGGCAGAGTTTGGCTGGCTCTGCTGTGCTCCTTTCCTGTCAGGTCCTTCCCACCTGAGGTCTCCTGGGGGTCGGCCCTGGTGGAGCGAGGCTTCCTTTCCCATCCACTCCATCTCTCCTGCCTTGGGAGCAGCACCCAAGGATCTATTCCCAACTCATGGCTGCTGCAGAGGTCTCCAGCTGGTGGTTGGGGGCCAGATGGAGGAGGAGGGGACAGATATGTTCGCAGACATATTTTGTTTGCTGTATATGCAATGTTTTAATCATTATTATCGAATATGCTGACAGTTAAGAATCTAGAGTTTTTATGTACTCCTGGATTTCCAGCTTCCTGGAACAATACACCTACCACCTTGGACCCATATGCCTGCAGCAGGCAGGGTACCTAGATGTCTAGTTCATCCCTGATCACCCAGTTCACATCTGGCTCCCATAAATATTTCAGTTCAATAAATTTTTATTGAATATTCTGCCCTAGTATGTGTCTAGGGCAGTATCTTGAAACTGGGGTATAGTGAACAAAATAGCCAACCCCCGCCCCTACACACACACGCCTGCCCTCATGGAGCTGATATTTTAGGGGGATAGAGACAACAAAGAGTAAAACAACCATACACAAATAGAGTACTTGTGCAGGGGATAAGGAGAAAAGGAATAGTGCCGGGAGGGGGTCAGGAGTGCCGGGGAGAAACAGGACGTGGTATTGAGATCAGTGCCTTATTTATCTATTCTGGGACCTGGGAAAGCCACTTCTCTGAGTCTCAGTTTCTCCATCTGCACAACGACCCACAGGCTTGTGGGAGGTTATAGGGAGGATGGCACCCAGCAGAGATCCCTGCCTCCCCACCCCAATCCAGACTCACTCCCTTCTGGATTTTTGGATGTCTAGGTGGGGCTGTCCAATGTAGCTTCCTACCATGGATGGAAATGCTGTACTCTGTGCTGCCAAACACAGTGGCAACTGGCCACATGTGGCTATTGAGAACTTGAAATGCCACTAGTGTAGCTCAGGAACTGAATTTTATGTTTTTATTTCATTTAAATTTAAAGTTAAGGTTGAATAGCCACATGTGGCTGCTGGCTATTGAGCTGGACAGCACGGGTCTAGATGGCTTGAACTGTAAGCCTTCTTGGGGAACACCCAGATTAAGTACCCGCCCCCTCCATTTTACAGATGAGAATGTTTGGGACTTGGTATGTGGGTTTTCTTCTGTCCCATCTCCAAGGGGCCTTGTGGGGTGACTCTGTGGGCTTGGCCCTTCCTTGGAAACAGGGTCAGGGTTGGCTTGATGTCTGGGGCATCAGGTCCTGACACTTGGGTGACCACGTAGACACTTGTGCATCCAGGTGTATGCCCTCCTCCCAGGTGAGTACCCATTCCATGGCTGCAGGCAGATCGAGGGTCTGCCGGATGCCTCCATGCAGGGCTGTGTGATTTTGGACATTTCCAGCTTCTCTCAGCACAGCATAGCTCAGGGCTGATGTTTCCACGTGACAGGCATTTGTGGATCACCGTGGGCCATCCAGTTCCATGCAGGAAGCTGACGGATGTCTGGACTCCACTGGGGCGCGGGTGGAGATTTTCTTTGCTCCTTCCCTATAAGCTCTGCCCTTTGCCTGGGGCCTGGCATGTCTAGGCGGGTGGATGGCACAGGGCAGCTTCCTGCCTGGATGGGTGAGGGGTAGAGGTGGTACCAGGCTCCCTGTGGGGAGTCCAGGTGGGGTGTGGGGCTGGAGCCCTTTTTCTTGGTCATTTAACCCTACGCCCCGGTGCCAGCACCTTCCTTTTTGGTGGTCAGGGGCAGAGCCACCTACTCGCTGGGTTAACTTAAGCAAGTTGTTTGCCTCTCTGGGCTTCAGTTTCTCCATCCAAAAAACGGGGCTGTTGAGAGGACCTGAGGTTGAGTTGACTGGTGCGTAGCACAGAGCCTGGAGCCTCCCTTGCTCCCTTTAGCGCGTGCCTTGCCCTGTCTTTTCTGCTCAGGTTGCCCAGGTCGCCCAGGTCTTTTTTCTCTAGCACCTTTTTTCCTCTCTTGGTCTCAGCTGGGCCTGGTTCTCCCGGGGCAGGAGGGAGGGGGTGTGGGTGGGGCCTGAGGCCCCGCAGCTGCTGCCTTGTGCCTGCTGATTGGCTCCTTGTGGAGGGGCGTGGTCTCTACCTTATAATAGGGAGGGCGTCTTATCCTCTCAGCCGCGGCTGAGCCTCTTTGTCTGAGCGCGCTCGGCTTTTTTTTTTTTTTCTCTCTCCTTCCCTGCAGCAGTGGCCGGTGTCCAGCTGCCTACTTTCTGCCCGGATCTCTGGCTCCTCATCTCTCCGGTCTCCGCAGACTAAAGCCCTCGGGATATGCAGCAGCCATGCCTGTGCACACGCTGAGCCCCGGAGCCCCGTCCGCCCCCGCCCTACCTTGCCGCCTGCGGACCAGGGTCCCTGGCTACCTGCTACGGGGGCCGGCAGATGGTGGAGCCCGGAAACCGAGCGCTGTGGAGCGCCTGGAGGCCGACAAGGCCAAGTACGTCAAGAGCCTGCACGTGGCCAACACCCGCCAGGAGCCTGTGCAGCCCCTGCTGTCCAAACAGCCGCTCTTTAGCCCTGAGACTCGCCGCACAGTGCTCACGCCCAGCCGCCGAGCCCTGCCTGGCCCCTGCCGACGGCCCCAGCTGGACCTGGACATCCTCAGCAGCCTCATCGACTTGTGTGACAGCCCCGTGTCCCCTGCCGAGGCCAGCCGCACTCCTGGACGGGCCGAGGGAGCCGGCCGTCCTCCCCCAGCCACCCCTCCGCGACCGCCGCCCAGTACCTCTGCGGTCCGCCGGGTGGACGTCCGCCCCCTGCCCGCCTCGCCTGCCCGGCCCTGCCCATCACCCGGCCCTGCCGCCGCCTCCAGCCCAGCCCGGCCGCCGGGTTTGCAACGCTCCAAGTCGGACTTGAGCGAGCGCTTTTCTAGGGCAGCCGCTGATCTCGAGCGCTTTTTTAACTTCTGCGGCCTGGACCCGGAGGAGGCGAGAGGGTTGGGTGTGGCCCACCTGGCACGGGCCAGCTCGGATATCGTGTCCCTGGCAGGGCCCAGTGCTGGGCCGGGCAGCTCTGAAGGGGGCTGCTCCCGCCGCAGCTCGGTGACTGTTGAGGAGCGGGCCCGGGAGCGCGTTCCCTATGGCGTGTCGGTGGTGGAGCGCAATGCCCGCGTGATCAAGTGGTTGTATGGGCTAAGGCAGGCTCGGGAGAGCCCAGCAGCTGAAGGCTAGGCGCCACTGGGCCTGGAATTCGCCACAGGACGGATCTTACAGAGGCAAGTGGTCCCTGGACCTCTCTTGCATCCATTCTCTAGACGGCCGTGTCAGAGGCTCCACCCTGTTGTGAACTTGGTATGGAGGCAAAGGCTTAGAGGCTGGACCAGCATTGTTGGGCAAGGACTGACTCTCCAAGGGTTTTGTTCTTGGCTTTGGACACCTGAGAACCCCCTCCTCCCCTCCCCCAATACAAGGTTTTTGACATGAGTGTACTCCTGCTTAGTTCCTCTTGTGGGGCTGCATTTGCGGTGCTTTGCCCTCCCCACTGTGAGTGAGGGGCCAAGGGATCTCCTCAATCCTGTCTCCCCAGCGGCTCTGTTTCCTCCTTCCTTCCTTGGCCTCTGTCCTTTGCTGACTTCCTCTTCCTTACCCAGCAGAACTCACCCTGGGGTCGGGGCAGTGGGGAGGGGCCTATCCACTGCTCTTCCTAGTCCTTGGCAGCTGGCCTAGGTGGGCAGACTATAGGAGGGACTGGTTAGGAGTCTGCATTGCTTTGACTTCCCTCTCCTTGGTTAATAAACACAAATGCTTGTTTCTCAAGGGCTGGGCCTTCAGACTCTTCTGTGTTCACAAGAGAAAGGGTGAGAGAAGTCTTGGGGTGGGGCCATCAAAACAGTAATTGTTCACCCCGAGGTCTAGTGGTGGGGCATGATGATAGCGGCTGGCCTGGCTGGAGACATGTCCCCGTGGTGGGTTCTCATAACTCTCCTGGAAGGCTAGCAGGCCTGCCTCATCGAGGAGGAAACTGAGATCCAGCCATGAGTGAGCTGGAATAGAGCTGGGAGTAGGAATGGGGTCTTTCCCCTGCACCAGAAAGGGAGCCTGCAGGGGAAAGGCCGATGGGGTGCATAGACTCTCCCCAACCAGGAGTGTTCCATCCAAGCCCTGCCCAGTTCCCAAGGGGGCAGGAAGCTCGGAGAGGGCAAATCCTGAACTTGAGGTCACACAGACCATAGAGTGAGGATGAGAAGTGGGAGTTTTGGAGGAAGAGAGACTTGGGGTGGACGGCACAAAATGAGTGGCCTCCCTGGCGATCTTGGACAAGCCAGTTTCCCTCTGGGCCTCAGTGGGAGAGTTAGGCAGCACAGTCCTCCTTGGGTTGGGGCACTGGTGCATTCTGGGCCCTTCATGCTATATTCCAATACCTGGGGAGAGGGGAAGGAAGGGGCTGGCACTGGGCTTCGAGGCCTCAGCTTCTTCCAGTCTCCCTCCAGGTCAGTTACCTACTAGGACACCCCACCTTGGCTAGTGGAGCAGCTAGGGCTAGAGCTGGGCCTACAAAGGGCGAAAGCGGGGGTGGCCTCTCTGGTGCCCCACGGTGGGCGTGGAGAGGGGGTGGGTGGCGCTTCCTTTCACAGGCTGCCTTGGCTGCAGCACTCAGAAACAGGAAGCTCTAATGGGGGCCCTGGTGACAGGTTTGATGTAGGTTTTATTTTAAGCATAAAGAGGAGATTTCCGTTGGACTGTTGACAAACATCCACATCAGCCCAGCTGTCCATCTCTCTGTCTGTCTGCCTGTCTACAACTAGCCCCCAGGGGCCTGGGATGGGCCTGGGCAGTTTGGGGAAGGAAGGGAAAATTGGGTTCTAGAAGAAGATGGTGTTCCAGCTCATGAGACTGGAGCTCATGATACTGGTGGGGAGACAAGCATGAGGAGGGTGGTGACCTACCCACAACCCCCCATGGTGCCCAGCAGTTTTGACAATGCAGGAGCTGGGCCTCCAGGGTCCCCATGCTGAAGGAGTGATGGTGTCAGGAGAGAGAATCCAGGCAGGATCTGCAGACGTGGTGCCCTTTGAGGTGTCAAAGACTAGATTTCCTAGGCAACCCTGCTAGAATTCAGGGCTAGTCATTGCCCCTTGCTGTGACCTGGCAGCCTCCGAGTAACCCAAGAAGGTGGATGGGCTGGCTGCATTTTACATGTGAAGAAATTGAGGTTCAGGTCACAGGACTGGTGGGTGACACCTTGTTTCTGAAGGAGGGTACAGTGCTTGAATCCTCAAGGTAGCCTTTTGAGGACCAGATATATTGTCAGAGCAGGAGGTTGAGCTCAGGGAAGGATAGCGACTTGTATACTGTCACATAGCAGGTCTGCAGGACAGCCTGGGGTCACACTCTTGCCTGCCAGACACATCGCAGTCTGGATTCCTGGTTCTCCCAGCATGTACCCCACCACTCTTCCTCATCTTGGCAGCCTTTTCTTCTGGTCACTTTATTACTGAGCATCTACTGGGTGCCCAGCAGTGGATAAGACAGACATGGCCCCTGTCCTAGTCTGGAGAAGAGAATGGGCAACTAAACATTCAGCACATAAATAATCATAGAATGTAAAGCAGGTATACTTAGGGACTTCTGCCCTAAAACCAGAGCTGTTCCCAGGAGCTGGACCAGGGGATAGCTGAAAAGAGAACGCCTTTCCATAAATCCACTGGGAGGGTCTGTTGGGGAGAGAGCAGGGAGGGATTCTTGGAAGTGGGGAAGGTGCCAGATTGAGTCTTCTCCAATGGTTATGGCTTGGTCTTGGGAGGGCTCCCCCTGTTCCAGGATTCTGGAGCCTCCCGCCTTCCCTGCAGGCCTCTGTGGAGGGAGCAGGGCGGGGGGCTTTTGCACTCCTCCCTCCCCCAACCCTGCAGCCTTGGGGATCTGTGGAAACAGCCCCTCTATTGTTCTGCCTCCAGTTGGAGTGTGAGCCCTCGGAGGGCCTGCAGCTGCTGCCCTGTCTCCTGGGGCTGCCCAGCCCTCCGAAGCAGCTCCCCCAGGCCAGCCTGGCCCCAGCTGCCTAGCCCCTAATTAGGCAGAGATGGGATCTGCTCTCTGATCCATTTCCCACCAGCTAATTATATACACGTGGATTTGGGAACCAGGCAACCTGGCTGCTCACTTCTATCATGAAGGTGGATGGGCCCTGGGAAAGGCAGCCCCCCCCCCACAGACCTCAGTTTACCCTTTTGGCAGAGGATGGAGTGTAGCTGCAGAGGCCTGTTCCCTGTCCTTGGTTAAATAGTTCTGTTCCTGCTACTGAAACATTTAAGGAGACCCCCCACCCCCATCTTACCTGATATCCTGTGTACAGGGGACCAGGAAAGGGTTGAGGAATTTGGCTATAGGTCCTTGACTCTAGGACCCCAGGGTAGGGTCATAGGATATAGATGAGAGCATGGCTGCAGCTGGCTGCCAATTAGATGTGCATATAGGAGGGCTTACAGTTGTGCTGGTCCATCTGGGTGGCCTGAACACCCGGCCGGGTGCGGTGGCTCACGTCTGTAATCCCAGCACTTTGGGAGGCCAAGGCAGGCGGATCACTTGAAACCAGGAGTTTGAGACCAGCCTGGACAACGTGGTGAAATCCCGTCTCTACTAAAAATACAAAAATTAGCTAGGCATAGTGGCGGACACCTATAATCCCAGCTACTTGGGAGGCTGAGGCATGAGATTCGCTTGAACCCTGGAGGTGGAGGTTGCAGTGAGCCAATATCATAGCACTGCCCTCCAGCCTGGGTGACAAAGAAAGACTCCCTCTCAAAAAAAAAAAAAAAGGAGTGAACACCCCATCCAGGTTTTTAAAAAGGTAATATTGGTTGATGGGTACAGCAAACCACCGTGGCACATACATATCTATGTAACAAACCTGCACATTCTGCACATGTATCTCAGAACTTAAAGTAGAATAAAAATAAAATAAAAGGTAATATTATTTTTCAGATAATTCACTCATATATTTCTTCCAACATTTTATTAAGAAAAATTTCAAACATAGAGTTGAAAGAATTAGACAGTGAACATTCATATACCCACCTACTAATGCACACTTGTTAATATTTCACTATATTTGCTCTATCAGGAATCTACCCATCTCTCCATCCATTAATACAACTTATTTTTTTAATACAACTTATTTTTTAATAAAGCTTTTCAAATTAAGTTGCATATATCAGTACACTTCCCTTAAAGTCACTTTAGTGTGCATGCCATTAGCTAGAATTCAATATTTGTTTGTCTTGTTCCTCTCTAGGTAACATTTACATGGAATGAAATGCACAGATCTTAAAGGTGCCATTTGCTGAATTTAGACAAATGCATACTGTACCCCAAACCCCTATCAGGGTATCAAGCATTATCACCTCAGAAAGTTTCCTTGCATCGCTCTCCTGCCGATTGCTGCCTGCCCACCATGGACATATTTTTATATCCATATATATCAGTACTAACAAGCAGCATCCCTTGTCCTTTCCTCTACATCAGCCTCGCTCCCCAAAAGCAACCACTTACAACTTCTTAAACTATTTCTTCTGGTACTTTCCTCCATATTTTTAAATAACTTGCTTTTCCTGCTGTTTTCTTGATCAATTTTAGGCATACACACACACACACACACACACACACACACACACACACACATATATATTTATTTTTTTTTTGAGACAGAATCTTGCTCTGTTGCCCCGGCTGGAGTGCAGTGGTGTGATCTTGGCTCACTGTAACCCCTGCCTCCCAGGTTCAAGCGATTCTCCTGCCTCAGCCACCTAAGTAGCTGGGACTACAGGTGTGTGCCACCACGCCTGGCTAATTTTTGTATTTTTTGTAGAGATGGGGTTTCACCATGTTGACCAGGCTGGTCTTGAATTCCTGACCTCAAGTGATCCACCCACCTTGGCTTCCCACAGTGCTGGGATTACAGGCGTGAGCCAGTGTGTCTGACCAATTTTAGGCACATATTGACTGACTTTCTGGTCTGATGTTTTCATAGTGTGGCCTCCACTGCCTGGCTGCCTGGCTTTGGATCCCAGCCCTTCCTCTTTCTGGCTGTATGACCTTGGGCAGTAACTTAACCTCCTTGGGCCTCAGTTTTCTCATTTGTAAAATGAGGGTGATAATAATAGTGCTGAGGTTATTGGATTGTTATACGGATTCAAGATGTAAAAGGCTGAGAATAATGAACATCACCCAGTGAGTAGTCAAACTTTTTCTTCTCATAATCATTATTATCAAGAAAGATTTAGCTTTTGGTTCCCCCCTTTCAATTGGCATTTATCACAATTTTTTGTGAAGTGGATTTTAGTGTTATTTATATTATGACTATGTAAATACTGTTTCCTTTCAAGCCAAGTCATATATTTTGGTTACATTTCCTTTCTTGTACAACTCTTTGTTCTTCCTGGAGTTACTACTCGCTTTGCTTTTTTTCATTTGCTGTTTCCTCTTAACCCATCCTTAATTCTCTTAATTCTTTGACACCCTCAGTCTCCCCATAGTTAACATTACACATCCTGAAACTCTTCAAGTGCTTTTAAAGAAGCATCCCCATCCATTTAAAAAAAACTGGAGCCAATTTTTAAAATAGAATCTCAAATACAATCTGTAAAATAAAGATTTGTGAGCATCCACTATGTGCCAGGAGCTGTGCTAGGCAGAGTGGGAAGGTAGCCAAATAGGGGATATCCCTGCCCATGTGGGTTTCCAAGAGGGATGAAAACTGAAGCTCCACACCCCCAGCCTCTGCATTTACCGGGGAACACCTCAGCACCTCTAGGAATCTCAGGACCTCAGGGAGCCCAGATTTACTTATTTGTAAAATGAGGATCATTTTGTCATTCTGCAATCACTCCTTAACCATGTTGTCTGGGGCTGTGTTGTGGCTGCTGGGTATAGAGCAATGATCTCCCCATCCCTTGAGGGGCTCACAAGAGCTGTGGGATAGAGCGGAGGCTGTGGATTGCAGCGGAGCAATGGGAGCTGGGGAGCGGGTTTCCCAGAGGAAGTACCATAGGACGAAGAGGGTCTTGGTGGGTAAGGGCAGTAAACGGCTGTTATGTTCCAAGGGCTGTGCGAAGAACTTCCATGTATTGTCCCATCAAATCCTCCCAAAGACCCATTGAAAGGGGTCATATTTTTATCACAATTTCATAGATGGGGAAACTAAGGCCAGGAGAGTCCAAGGCCAGGGTCACACAGCTAATAAGCGGCAGAGGCAGTATTTGAACCTATGCAGTTGGGTTCTTAACCACACACTGCACTGTCTCTCACATCCAGATGCCCAGCTCCTGTCCCCACCTCATCCTGTATCTGCCTCGTCCTCTCCTGTCTACCCACTGGTGCTAACCTCTGGCTCATTCCATGCCCTTCGCTTTATTCATCCATTCATTCAACACAAATCTACTGGGCGCCTTTTCCACGCCCAACCCTGGGCTGGGCAGTGCCAGGGACATAGAGCTTGGGCAGTATTGACTCACCCATTCCCAGATAGGCATTGACATTGACATGCAAGCGGCCAGGAAAGTTGTCTAAATAAAGGGGTGTTTGGGGTTGAGTGATGGCTGTGTGTATGTGTGTGTGTGTGTGGCCTGCAAGGGGTGTGTGTCAGTGTGGCAGCAACAGACTTTCTGTGGAGGCCATTTATGAAGGCATATCTGTGTACCCTTGAGAGTGTGTTGTCTGCAGAGGGTGTGTCCACCAGGTATGTGGATCAGTGAGGCTCTGCTGCATAACAAACCACTCTAAGCCCAGAAGCCTAAAACCACTTATTAGCCTGTGTGAAGTGGCAGTCTGGCCTGGGCTTAGCTGGGCAGTTCTGGTTTTACCTGGGTTCACTTGCCTTGCTGCAGTCAGCTGAGGGTGGGGGCTCTGGGAGGGCTTCACTCACATGCTTAGCAGTTGGCAGGCTGTTTGCTGGGGTGCCTCCATTTGCTTTGATGAGGCTGGCTTGGGCTCATGCTTATGGTGACCTCAGGGTTCCACATTCAGCAAGAGAAGATAAGCTCCAACGCACAGTGCATTTTGAGCCTCTACTTGTGTCAAGATTATAAATGTCCTAATAGCCCAAGTGACATGTCAAGTCAGATTCAAAGGATGGAGAAATAGACTCTCTCTCTCTCTCTCTCGGTTGTGTTTTTGTTCTTTGAAAACAAGCCCGGCTTGCCTGGCTCCATCGCCCAGGCTGGAGTGCAGTGGCGCGATCTTGGCTCGGTGCAACCTCCGCTTCCTGGTTCAAGCAATTCTCCTGCCTCAGCCTCCTGAGTAGTTGGGACTACAGGTGCGTGTCACCACGCCCAGCTAATTTTTGTATTTTTAGTAGAGATGGGGTTTCACCATATTGGCCAGACTGGTCTCGATCTCTTGACCTCATGATCTGCCCGCCTTGGCCTCCCAGAGTGCTGGGATTATAGGCATGAGGCACCGCGCCTGGCTTAGAATCCATCTCTTAGTCACATTACACAGGGCATGAGTACAGATATGGAGGAATTATTGTAGCTGATTTTCAAACAACTTACCTGTGTGTGCAGGTAAAGAACTAGGGACAGTTCTCAGTTTTGGAAATAAAAAAAACTCTGGGCTGCAGTCCTGGCTCTTCCGTCCTTGCTGTCTGACCTTAGTCAAGTTGTCTCATTCTCTGAGCTTCCGTAAATTGGATAAAATTGAATGAAACGAGATGATCTTTATAAAGTGCTTGTGCTACTCATTTGTTTACAAACGCAGCACATATTTATTGAGGCCTCCTATATACCAACTACTGGTCCCACCCCGAGGATATTGCAGTGAACAAAATGGACCAAAACACCTGCTCTTGTGAAGCTCACAGCCTAGGTTGTAGACAGATGTTAATTGATCATCCTAATAATTGTATGACCATTGAGAGTAGATTCCGGAAGGAGAGATTGCTGACCTGGCCAGGTTGATCTGAGAAGCCAAAGATATTTAAGCTGAGATGTGAAGGGTAGGTAGGAGACAACGAGGAGAAGAAAGATAGGAGTGGAAAATGATTCTAGATGGAGGGCATGTGCAAAGGCCCTGTGGTGGGAGGAGTAGATTCCAGGAACACAGAGAAGGTGGGTGGGGCTGGGCCTGAAGCACCAGGGCCAGATGGTGTGGGGCTGCTGGAGCCTTTGAACAATGTGAGGGTCTGTCTTGCCAGGCAGCCTAAAATAAAACCGAAAGGCCTAACTGCTCCACAAGGCCCTCATGATCGGGGACCTTGTTACTCCTCCAGTCTCCCCTTTACCTACTCTGCTGCAGCCATGCTGCCTCCTTCCTGTTCCAGGAACACCCTGGACACATTCCCACCTCAGGGCCTTTGCACTTGCCATTGCCTTTACTAGTATCGACCCTACCCAGATATTCTGATGACTCATTCTGTCACTTCATTTCCATCTCTGCCTCTTCAAAGGGGCCTTCCCTACCAACCCACCACAACCCCCCTGCCCCTCCAGCTAAGCAGTCAGCATCCAGCAGTCTCTACTTCCCTGGCCTGGTTTATTTCTCTTCCTAGCACATATCACCTCCTGGCTTATATTAACCAGAGGCCACATTGTCTGTTTCTCTTCTGGATCTCTCACCAGAGTGCAGCTCAGCAGGCAGGGACTTGGCCTTGCTCTAGGCTGTGTCCTCAGCCTCAGGGGAAGAGTAGGCATTCCATAAACATTTGTGAATAAAGAAATGAGTGAAAATGAGTGAGTGAATGCTGGAAAGAACTAGCTCCTGGAAATTAGGAGGTCTGGGTTCAAGTTCTAGCTGGGCGATCCTTTCTGTTCCTTGGTTTCTCCAGTTGAGCTGTGAGGCATTTGTGGTCTCTAGGGAGGTTCTAGGACAGGAAAGGAGTACTCCAGGCTGTGGAGGGGGCCTATGTAGGAAGAAGGGAGCTGGGGCCTTCCCTTTGGCCTTCTGGCGTTTGAAAATAGCCTAGCTCAGCCCCTAGCTTGGGCCCCTACCCTCCCTGGGGTGCCAAGCTGGAGCCAGGGGGCTCTGTCTGGAGCCTGCCAGCCTGGTGCCGGGCTGGGATCAAGGCCACCTGACAGCTGGGCCAGGCAGTCCTGGAAGGTTCTTAAGGGCAAACAGGGCATGCTGGATGTCCCAGACCTCCCTCCCCACCTATTGTCCCTCCTCCCTCAGTGTCCACCGGCAGGATAAATCCCTTCATCCTCTACAGGCCTGCAGCCCTTGCAGCTTGCAAATCTTTTTCTTGGTTTGTTTCTAATTTCACCCCTGCTCAGTAGCTACTTTACTGGTGAGGACACTGAGGCTCAGAGATGACAACTGCCTCACTGAGGTTACGTTGCAGTTATGATTCAGGCCCAAGTCTTGCCCAGCCCTGTCCTGTCACCGCGTGCACGTGTGTGTGTTTGTGTTTGTGTGTGTGTGTGTGTGTGTGTGTGGTCTCACTATCAAACAGTGCCCTCCCTTAACCACCAGTGCCCCGGGTCTCTGATAAGATGTGATGACTATGAGCACCTGGAGCCAGGTGGCCTGGGTTCAAATCCCACCTTTGCTACTTCTATACTGTGTGGATTGCTGGGCCACCCCCACCTCAGTGTCTGCTAATAGGACAAATCCCTTAATCCTGGGCACTGGGGCACTATCAGGACTAGCATTGTATACATTGCACAGGTTTTAAAAAATGTAATCTGTAGGCTGGGCACAGTGGCTTACACCTGTAATCCCAGCATTTTGGGAGGCCCAGGTGGGTGGATCATGAGGTCAGGAGCTCAAGACCAGCCTGGCCAACATGGTGAAACCCCGTCACTACTAAAAATCCAAAAATTCACCAGGCATGGTGGCGGGCACCTGTAGTCCCAGCTACTCGGGAGGCTGAGGCAGGAGAATCGCTTGAGCCCAGAAGCTGAGGTTGCACTGAGCCGAGATTGTGCCACTGCTCTCCAGCCTGGGCAATAGAGCAAGACTCCGTCTCAAAAAAAAGGTAATTTGTTGTCAATATTTACACATCTAAACCATTGGAAGAATAATGTATATATAAACTAGCTAATGAACACCTACCAAGCCCCAAGCACCAACTGTATGTCCAGTACAGAGCCAGCTGCTCCAGGGGAGTTCGTTCCTGGGAGGGGGCATCATGATGAAGTGGGCGTGGTTCCCATTTCCTCCAGCGTAGTCTCAGAAGCGGGAAGCCATGTGACTGAGGTTACAGCCAGGGAGGGCAGAGGCCCCCGGCACTCACCCCTCTGGGGTCCAAGCCCCGCTGGCATGTGTTGTGTCCCTGGGTAGGTGTGTCACTCCCTGTCTGTGTCTCCAGTGTTCCTGTTGGCAAATCAGGGGTGGGACGGAGGTAAATGGAGAGGCCCTGCCCAGTCTGCTGTAATCCAGGATCTCGGACTTAGTGGGGCCAAAGCTTCCAAGTTCTCCTGATTAGTGAGGCTGCAAAAAATGTTTGGCATGTTATTCTCTCACCGTTTAAATGTGGGCAAGTAACAACTTACATGTAAAATTACCCCCATATACCAAGCATTTAAGTTATTTATTATATCATTGCTTACAATAGCAAATAATTGGAAATTATTTGAGAAATGGCTAAAGAAACTCAGGCCCAGGTACGCAAGGGAATCCTAGGCAGCCCTCAAAAGATGTCCTGCAAACACCTGATGTGGAATCACAAGATACACAACACAGGTCAGTGAACAAAACAAGTTGTGGCATGATACCCACAGTGTGCTGCTGCTTGTGGAAGCAGGAACACATGTCCATGTACTCTTGTACTGGCACAGAACCCTGGAGAATTATCCTGGGAACCCTGCATGCTGGCTGCCCCTGGGGAGGGGAACCCGAGGGTTGGGCTCAAGGGTGGGAGGCAAGACTCACTACTTTGCACACCTTTTGAATTTTGAATCATGTGAATGTGTTATCTGTGCAGAAAAAATAAAAATACATTTAAAGTAAAGTGAAAGTAGACAAGAAACCTGAAACAGAGACGGACAAGCAAGCCTGCAGGCCCAGCCAGCTACCGCCCCCGGGCAACCTCATGCCACACTGTGGGCTCTGCCCAGCTTGGTTTTGTGGCTCCACCCTCTACGGTCATATTTGGGTTTCCACACACACAGCACCCAAAGGAAATCCCAGCTAACGCACATCAGGTTCTGGGCTGGGCCACCCGCCAAGGTGGTTGGTGGGCATGACACCGCCCCGGGAATGGCGTCGTCCAAATGCCTGAGCAATGACACGGCCTCAGATGGAATGATGCCACTGCCCACAGTCTCACAGGCCCTCCCATCTCGCCTTTGTTCTGCAGCCTCCAGGTGGGTGTATGGACACTCCAAAACAGCCATCCCTGTCAATGAATCAGCCTGCAGGGACTGAATTCATTCCTTCATTCATCAATATCCATTGAGCACCTACTGTGTGCCAAACACTCTTCTAGGAACTGAAGATGCAACAGAAAACAAAACAGATAAAAATCCCTGCCCTCGAGGAGCTGACATTCCAGAGGGGACACAGACAATACTTGCCAGAGTGAAAATGCTAAGGAGAAAAATGAAGCAGGGAAGGATGGGGAACTAGAGATTTTTTTTCCTTTTTTTATTGAGGTTGAATTGATAAACAATAAAATTGGCCCATTTTAGGTGTACAGTTGGATGCATTTTGACAGTTGTATGGCACTACAGACAAGTGCTAGAATTCCTGTATCATCCCACCATGTTCCTTCACGCCCCCCACAGTCAGCCCCTGACTCCCACCCGCTCCCACCCGAAGAAACTACAGATCAGTTTTCTTTCACTGTAGATCAGCTTTGTCTTTCCCAGAGTTCATGCAAATGGAATCTGGCTTCTCTCAGTCAGCATCATGGACTTGGTTGAGATTCGCCCGTGTTGCTGAGTGTATCTGTAGCTTGTTCCTTTTTACTGACGAGTAGTATTCCACAGTGTGGATGCACTGTATTTTGTTTATTCATCCAACTTGTTGACGGACATACAGGTTGTTCCCATTTCTTGGCTATTACAAATAAAGCTACTATAAACATTTGTGAACAACTCTTTGTGTGGATGCATATTTTCATTTCTCTTGGGTAACTACCACGGAGTGGAATTGCTGGACCTCGTGGTAAGGGTAGCTTTATTAGAAGCAGATCTCATGCTTTTAAACAGGATGGTCAGATAAGGTGTCACCGGCTCGGTGATATTTCAGGAGAGGCCAGAAGGAGGTAAGGGGTGTCTGCAGGGAAGAGTGTTCTGGGCTGAGGAAACAGAGTCAGTATGTGCCTGGAGTGTTTGAGGAACAGCATGGAGGCCATCAAGGAGGGAGTGAAGGACGTGAGGGGAGAGGGCTAGGAGGTGTGCTCCATGTGGAATGAGGCTAGATGGTATAGGGTCACATACATCATGGTGAGGACATTGGTATTTTTTTCTTTTGACATGGAGTCTCGCTCTGTCACCCAGGCTGGAGTGCAGTGACACAATCTCGGCTCACTGCAACCTCCGCCTCCTGCATTAAAGTAATTCCCCGGCTTAGCCTCCCAAGTAGCTGGGACTACAGGCACGTGCCCCCACGCCCATTTTATATTTTTGTAGAGATGGGGTTTTGCCATGTTGTCCAGGCTGGTCTCAAATGCCTGACGTCAGGTGATCCGCCCACCTCAGCCTCCTGAAGTGTTGGGATTACAGGTGAGAGCCACTGCACCTGGCTGAGGACATTGGTTTTTCCTCTGAGAACCCGTGGGAGGAATCTGAGCAGAGGTGGGACAGGATCAGACTTGCATTTTAACACCTTCCCCCATCTCCAGCTACCAAGTGGAGAATGGGCTGCAGGGCTGCAGGGAGGAGGCTACTGTAATAGTCCTGGCAGGAGATGAAGGAGTTGGACTGGGGTGGAGGCGGTGGGGGCTGAGGGGTGTGGGATTCTGGATCTTTCTGGATCTACCCCGAATGTGGAGCCAACAGGGGATGTATTGGACGTGGGATGTGGGGAAAGTAGGGACATGAAAGAAGGCTAGGACCCAAGGTGACCTCTAGGAACTGAGAGTGGCCCTCCAGCTCCCAGCTGGCAAGGAAACATGCATCTCAGACCGGCAACCACAAGAAGTTGAACTGTGCTGACAACCAAAGGAACTTAGAGTGGACCCTGAGCCGCACAAAGGATCACAGCCTAGCTGACACGGTGATTTCAGCCTGGTGAGACCTAAGCAGAGAAGCCAATCATTTCATGCCAGGACTTCTGACCTGCAGAAACTGTAAGAAAATAAATGGGTGCTAAGTCACTAAGTTTGTGATAATTTGTTATGTAGCAATAGATGACTGATACGGGCATACTAGAATCCTACAGTGTGAGAGCTAAAAGAGTGCTTAGCAACCACTAAGCCCACCCCCCCCATGTACATATGGGGAAACTGAGGCTCAGAGAGCACAGAGGACTTGAGGCGTGGTTCCTGAAGGGAGGCGACATCAGGCAGAAACTGTCCCAGCTCTGGAGGTGTCGCGAGTCCCAGCCTCTCCTCTCTTAGGAGGCTGTAGTACCTGCCCCTCTGCCAACCCCTGCTCATCAGGACTCCCAGAGAGCCAGCTCCTGGCTACCCACTATCTACCCTCGGCTCCCCAAGCAGCGAGTTCAGGCAGGCTCCCCACTGGTGCAGGCCCTCACCCCCACAGCAGAGCATGGGCCAAGGGTGCACGAGCCAGGCCTGAATCTGAGACCCCAGGGAAGAGAGGAAAAATCACAACCTTGGGCCTGGCTAGAATCCCAACTCTGCCACTCACCAGCTATGTGACCCTGGTTGAGGGACTCCCCTTTGCTGAGCTGCAGTGTCCACATGTATAAGATGGGAGTAGGGATGCTTTCCTCCAATGGTCAATGAGCTAATGAAGGTGAAACTCTTGGCGGGAGCACTGTAAATGCATGTATCCAACCTCTTCCTCTGCATGGGCCTCAGCTTCCCCATCTGCTAAAGGGTCTTGTGTTCTTGATGTGTTTGGGGGGGCCCTTGCAGCTCTAACTATATGAGGATTCAAATTCCGGCTCTGCTTCTCACTAGCTGTGTGACCTTGAATATGTTACTCAAGCTCTCTGAGTCCCAGTTTTCTCACCCATAAAACGGGGCTATTAATAATACCTCCTATTACAGGAGAGATGCAGGTCAGATACCTAGTAGAGTGACTGAGAAAATGTTAGCTAGTTGTGTTATCATCATGATCACCATTTCTAGTGTGTGAGTTTGGTTGTGCCTGCTGGAAGGGGCAACAGGGCCGAGCCTCCCAGGGTGAGAAAGTTTGGTTTTCTTAGAGACAGACGTTTGTAGGCTGAGCAAGGCATGCGTGCATTTCTGGGAAAACAAAATTAGTTCATTTCCCTCCAAATCCCTGCCTGTGCAACCACCTAAAGCCAGGCTCTGAGTATCACAGTGCTTATAAGTGGTAAACCCACAGGCAGGTTTGTGAAAATGAAAATATGCATTTATTTCTGTTCCCAGTTCTGAGAACTACTTCCTGTTTCCCTCTAGAGGAAGGCAATGGCTTGTGCACATGCCTGGAGGTGGGAATGTGTGTCATGGACACAAACTGGGGTGGTTATCACTGTGATGTTCCCACTGGCCATGTCTGAATTGTGCACGCAATCCTCTGACCATAGCTGATTCACTGGTGTTAACAGACACCTGACGGCAGGCTGGGCACTCAACAGTCTCTATTGGAAATTTGAAACTTGAATGGGGCACACAGACAGAGAGTGGCTGGAGATGCATCATTCCTGGCCAGCACCCTAGAGAGGAAAGCCACAGGCCCTGCCCCTGAGCTCCCCAGAGATGCCTTTTCCTGTTCTTCCCACAAGAGTACTCGTTTTGGGGGTTTGCTCTTCCCTCATCCTGGAAATGCCTTTCAATAAATCCACTGCTGGGCTCCTTGGTTAGTCAGTTTTTCGGTGTTTGCCACCCAGTTCACCTTGGCCAATGTGGTGACTAGGGAGACAGCACTGCTGGGGGTTAAGGGGAGACTGTGCAATGGAGCAGTGGCCCTCTGTGGAGTAGTTCTGGGCAGAAAGAGCACTGGACCCAGAGTCTGGTTCTTCATGATGTACTGCCATGTGACCTTGGGCAAATCACTTAACTTCTCTGTCTGGGATGGAACCAGGGGGCACCTTAGTAAGCAGATGGGGACACTAAGGATCAGAGAGAGGAAAGGCTTTACTTAAAGCCACACAACAGGTTTAGGACAGACCCGGGAGAGCTGGGCCCTGCAAATCCCAGCCCTCAGAGGGAAAATTTCCTGGGTTAGGAAGCTTATTTCTAATTATCACCAGGACCTGTTTACCCCAGGTGAACAGGGTCCCCAGGCACTTGGCAGATCACAGATTTCTTTCCCAACCAATTGTCACATTTGGCCTTGGCAACAGCATCAATGGCCCAGGAGGGGGCTGAGTAAACTGAGCCCAGAGAGGGACAGAGTCTTGTGCAGGGTCATACCACAAGTTCATGGCAGAACTAGAGTCTGGGCCAGATCTAAAAAAGTGTTGCTTTTTGCTCTAAATTTAAGGAGGGTGAATTGGGGGTAGTGGCTAATGAGTTCTCCAGAGGAATTTTTAAACTGTTTGCTTTCATTTTGATGATAATCCTAAACATGTAACTCAAGCATATCATGAATCATCTGCAGAGCCACAGGTAAGTCCTGCCTGAGCTTGCGTTTGGACTTGGGATCACACTGGCAGCAAATAATAGCATTTGTTGAGAACTAACTATGGCCCAGGCACTACGCTTTGCATTTTTTATCTATTTTTTAAAATTTTATTTAATCCTCACAACAACCCTATAAGATAAATGCCATCAGCATCCCCATTTCACAGATCAGGCAGTCAAGGTGCAGAGAGGTTAAGGTTAAGTAACTTGAAGCAATGTTAACAGCGAGCCTGTGATCTTGCCCACTACACTTTACCATTGTAATCGGAGGAGAAAATGGCAGAGGTGGCTTTGATATGTAAAGATGAATTCCTGCTAAGTGAAGGCCAGTGATGCAGAAGTACAGGGTGGGGAGAAATTTCACCATGGGTGAAATGGTGCCAAATGGTGGGAGAACAAAGCCATCATCAGCATGCAGAGTTGGGTGGAAGTGCGTGACAAACCCAAACAAAATGGCATCGCAATTGAGTGTCCCACATTCACACTGCTGGTGGCAACTCTGGTTTAGCAAAGCAACATCAACCATATCATTAATTAATTAATATTGTTGCATTGATGATATGGCAGCATAGCTTAATGCTTAGGGATGCAGGCTTAAAACTCATAATTTCTGACTTCAAATGTGTTTTCCTCTTGGCCTAGTCCTCAGACTATGGGCAAATCACTCAACCTCTCTAAGCCTCAGTTTTGTTCATCTTTAAAATGGAATTGTAATAGCACCTGATAGACTGCTGATTGCCTATGCAATTCCCTTCTTTTCCTGTTTTTTGTTGACCAAACCCTGATTTTATTCCCGATGGTGATATATCTAGCTAAGTAAGACTTTATTCCCAGCCTCTCTTACAGCTACTGGTGGCCAGCGAGTGGAAGTTATTCAGTGAGAGACTTCTGAGGACTATCCCTAGAGGGGGCCAATGCATCTGGGAGGAAAGCCCATATACTCTTCTTTCTCCTTCTTCCTATATGGAACTCAGGCATTATGGCAGCAGCCCCAGCAGCCATCTAGGATCAAGAAGTGACCTTCAGGATGAAGACACATGATAAGGATGAAGCAACATGAGGCTGGAAGGAACCTGAAACATTGATGATACCATAGAGACTGCAGCAGCCCTGGGCTGACTCTTCCCTGACTTTTTTTTTTTTTTTTTTTTTTTTTTAAGTCAGCCTTTTATTTTAGGACAATTTTAGATGTAAGAATCATTGCAAAGATAGTACAGAGAGTGCCTGCATACCCCACACCCAGTTTCTCCTATTATTAACATCTTATAGGCCAGGCGAGGTGGCTTACACCTGTAATCCCAGCACTTTGGGAGTCCAAGGTAGGAGGATCACTTAAGGCCAAGAGTTTGAGACCAGCCTGGGCAACAGAGCAAGGCCCTCTTCCTACAAAAATAAAAATAAAAAATTGAGCTGGGTGTCATGGCATACCAGTAGTCCTAGTTACTCAGGAGGCTGAGGTGGAAGGATTACTTGAGCCCAGGAGTTTGGGGCTTCAGTGAGCTATGATCACACCACTGTACTCCAGTGTGGGTGACAGAGCAAGACCCTGTCTGTAAAAAAACCCGAAAACCAAAACCAGAAAATCTTATATTAGGGTATGATACATATTAAAACCAAAAAATCTTATATTAGGGCATGGTACATATGTCACAATGAATGAGCCATACTGTCATTATTAACTGAAAAGCCCATACTTCATTCAGATTTCCTCAGTTTCTCCCTAATACCCCTTTTCTGTTCCAGGATCCCATCCAGGCTCCCACATTACATTTAGTTGTGTCTCCTTAGGCTCCACCTGGTTGTGACGGTTTCAAAGACTTTCCTTGTTTTTGATGAACCTCATAGTTTTGAGGACAACTGGTCAGGTATTTTGTAACATGTTCCTCAATAGGGATTTTTCTGGTGATTTTCTTGTGATTAGACAGGGGTGATGTGTTTAGGGAGGAAGACCGCAGAGGTGAAGTGTCAATGTCATCGCTTCAGATGGGGGGACATTCTATCAATACGACTTCTCACTGTGGATGTTGACCTTGATTGCTGGCACGTTTCTCCACTGCAAAATCACTGTTTCTGTCCTCCATTCAACGCCATACTCTTTGGAAGAAAGTCACTCCATGCAGCCCGTGCTTAAGGAGTGGGAGTTATGTTCCACCTCCTGGAGGGTGACGCACTTAAGCTACTTAAGCTAATAAGTATTTTTTATGTAGCAAAAGCTAACAGATAAACAAACCCTTTTGTTTCGTAGATCTATGTTATTTGGGTTTTCTATTACATGCAGTCAAACCCAATTTTAAATGGATGCAGAATTTATTTCTCAGGGAGGTTGTGATAATTGAATCAGAGAGGCAGGGACAGTACCTACAGCAGTGTTTGGGTGAATAAACAGTAACAATAATCATCGTTGGCCAGGTGTGGTGGCTCATGCCTATAATCCCAGCCCTTTGGGAGGCCAAAGCCAGTGGACTACTTGAGCCCAGGAGTTTGAGACCAGCCTGGGCAACTTGGCAAAACCCTGTCTCTACAAAAAATACAAAAGTTACCTGGGCATGGTGGCACATGTCTCTAGTCCCAGCTACTTGGGAGGCTGAGGTGGGAGGATCTATTGAGCCTGGAAGGCAGAGGTTACAGTGAGCTATGATTGCATCACTGCACTCCAGCCTGGGTGACAGAGTGAGAATCTGTCTCAAAAAAAAAAATCATGATTATTAATAACTTAATTATAAATAATAATAATTATTATTAGTTTTATAGTGCATTAGTATTTGATTGATAATTTTGTTTCAGTCTTTTTAGTTGTTTGGGAACTATAAGCCTAAGGAGTTGATAGCTCACTTCATGAATGCACACAAATAAGTAGTTTACCGTCAATGCCCTCCTAAGGGCCTAAGATCAACAGGAATGCACCTGTAGTTAAACAAGTGGTTCTATTACTCACTGGGACAAGAAAGTGCACAGCATGGGGAACCTTGGAATGTCTTAGTGAGAGTGTTAGAAAAGGCTTATTATAGGATTGGTCTCGTGTTAGGTGACTTGAATAGGGTTTGAGGATGTGGGGTTTTTCTTCAGATTGGATGCTCTCAGGAAGTGAGGGTAATTATGCAGTTGCGATCTTAACAAGTCTTGTCTATAGAGAAGGCAGACTCTGGCAAGGCTAATGCTGTCATTGGGAAAGAAGCAGCGGTCACTTGTATTAGCTGGGACTGAGGGGTGTTTGGTCATTTTCGTGGCTTGGAAATGTGCATGATTTGTCTTTGTTCAGACATGATTACAGAGTGTTCCACTTTTCGTCTTGATTCATCAATCACTGAGGACCTCATCTGATGTTGGTGTTCTGGGGAATCATTAACATTGGACAGGACATAAGCTGTTCTCTGTGCATGTTGGGCTGACTTGCAGCAACACCCAGTCCTAGCTGATGACTATCCAGGATGGCCCCTGGATGTCAGGGCTGCTTTCCTCTTTCTCAATTTCAGTCAACATTAGTGGGTCTGAGAGGATCCCTTCCTCCTTTTAAAGCTCTCCATATATTAAGTTGGAGCAACAAGCTCATTCCTGCTCAAACTGGGCAGGCATTTTTAGATTCTTTTCTGCTCCCAGAAGTTTTCCTTTCCCATTATTTGGTCTTGAGCTGGTCTCAGGAAGAAGTAATGAAGGTGAGAGATCTGCAGTGGGATCCTGGGAAAGGTGGCACATGTGGATCACTGAGGCCTGGGCTCGGATGGTGAGGATTTGAAGATTCCCAAAGGCCACACCTAAGGGTCACCAGAGGGTGTCCAGCCCCCATTATCCAGATGGGGGAACTGAGACCCAGGAGGGAAGGGCTCTGTGTTGGGTCCCAAGGTGTGCCATTCCAATTATCAACTGCCCTCCCTTACCTGACTGGCAGAGTCCCTTTCTTCCAGTTTGACGGAAAATACTGTTTGGCTCTTTTTTTGTGGGATGGAGTGTAGAAATTGGGGAAAAGAAGAAAATATAAAATCTTACATTAAGCATCCTAAGCCAATTCATGTGGTCGAAGAAGCAGAAAAGCAGCAGAAAAGCAGCAGAATGCGATGCCAAACACATCCTCTGTAGGCACGTGTGTTATACCAGGTTGCTGCGAGGGCCCAGAGGACACATCTGTTGTAGCTGAATAAGTTCCAGTGTTGAACCTCAGCACACACATGCGCATCTGGGCACCTGTGCACAGAGCTTGTATGCACAGAGCAGGAACACATGCATGCTACAAAAGGATCAAGAGTCAAACTCCAAACTGGCTGCCCTTATTGATAACTTCCAGCTGATGGAAGGTGGAAAGGCGAAGGTAGATGTGTTTTGGATATAAAAGGTCTGTCTTCTCTGTTTACTGTCTATGTGACCTTGAGCAAATTGATTGACCTCTCTAAGACTCAGTTTTCTGCAATATAATATGGTTCTCTTCTCTCAGAGTAAGGATGGAGTTCAGTGAGGAAACAGAAATGTAAGCATTGCATCATTCGGAATGCTCTGGGCTGCAAGTAACAGAACACCAACTCCACTGGCTTAAATGAAAAAGAAATTGATCATCTAGAGACAGGACTCAGGACCTCAATGATGTCAGTAAAGCTCCAGGCCCCTTCTGACCCTCCACTCAACCACTCACTCTCCCACCTCCCTGTCAGATTGGTCCCAAATGTGGTTCTCCTGGTGGTCCACACTGGAGTAGCATCCATGCTGTGTAGTGTCTTCTCCATCAACAGAAGAGAGAATCTTTGTTTTTCTTTTCTTTCTTCTTTCTTTTTTTTTTAGACAGAGTCTTGCTCTGTCTTCTAGGCTGGAGTGCAGTGGTGCGATCTCAGCTCACTATAACCTCTGCCTCCTGTATTCAAGCAATTCTTGTGCTTCAGTCTCCCAAGTAGCTGGGATTATGGGTGCCTGCCACCACTCCTGGCTGATTTTTGTATTTTTAGTAGAGACAGGGTTTCATCGTGTTGACCAGGCTGGTCTCAAACTCCTGACCTCAGGTGATCCACCCGCCTCAGCCTCCCAAAGTGCTGAGATTACAGGCATGAGCCACCACGCCCAGCCAGCAGAAGAGGTAACTTTTCTGTATCCCTGAAACGCTAAGTCTTCCTCTTTAGTATGAGTGAACTAATTGAAGTCACATGACCAGCCCTGGCAGTAGGAACCATGGCCAGGGGAATATCATGTGCTGACTGGCTGCAGTTTTGGTCCCTGAACACATCAGTGGCTGGGGGACCCCTTCAGACTAAAGGACCTAGCCCTGCAGCTGGGGACTGATATTAGGAAGGGAAAGGGAAAGGGCATGATTCATGTCCCTCACTGCTCAGGGTCTTGCTGTGTAGCATCTCTTCTGAGATGTGGGTCAGACAGGGTGTTGGCCATCGCTAGAAAGGACCCCTCCTACAAGGACAAGACTTGAACAGGGATCCTGAAGACTTCTGGGGTTTCTATCTAGAGTCCAAATGGGTCTCTAGAGTCAGCCTGTTGACAGGCTGAGTTGAGTGGCAGCATCTCTAGTGGATCTGGCTCTCTGCCTGTGACCACTTGTGTGCATGAGCAAGTGCCTCACAGACCTGCATGTGTACATGGAAGATGTATTTTTACCTCCATGTTTGCGTCTGTAGCAACAAGTATGAAATGCACATACATGTTCATGCACATGTCAATGTACGTGGCTACCACACAGTAGGTATACTGTACAGTGTAACCATACAGTGTTTCAAATATGCATATATGTTCATATATGTGCATATATGCAATATCTGGATAGATGTATATGGCATAATGGCATATTTATATATTAATAAATCAATCATTTTAGAGTATTAACTATATATGAGTTATATTATGCCTAAGATATATTAATAAAAACAATGTTTGTCAAGTACTTGCTATATGCCAGGTACTATTCTAAGCACATATGTTCTAAATTAATATATGTATTACTTTAAGGATACATAACCTAGTGTCTTTTTGGGGTCCATGGATGAAGTGTATCTTCACTCACCTTTAATTAAATTCGGTTGTTTCATTCTTCATTTGTGAATGTAGGGCATTCACAAATTCACAAATTCATTCTTTCAATTGTGAATGTAGGGCACAAGCCACAGTAGTGTCAGGAGTGCCTGGAACTTTGTCACCATTAGAAATCATAGCTATTTTTGTATCTTGTTATAATGATTATAGATATCTCAAAATATTAACAGTCATCATTTGTTTTGACCTACCACTGATCTTGTTATTTAATGTATTAGCAAAGAAGCATATATAGTACAATATCAAAACTGTGTTCTTTAAAAAAAAAAAAAGTATATATATATATATGTATATGTGTGTGTGTGTGTGTGTGTGTGTGTGTGTGTGTGTGTGTGTGTGATGAAGTCTTGCTATGTTGCCCAAGGTGGCCTTGACCCCCTGGGCTCAAGTGATCCTCTCACTTCAGCCTCCCAAGTAACTGGGACCCAGCTTAAAATATTTTGATGACAGTATATATATATTTTTTGAGACAGAGTCTCGCTCTGTCACCCAGGCTGGAGTGCAGTGGCACAATCTCAGTTCACTGCAAGCTCTGCCTCCTGGGTTCATGCCATTCTCCTGCCTCAGCCTCCCGAGTAGCTGGGACTACAGTTGCCCGCCACCATGCCTGGCTAACCTTTTTTTGTATTTTTACTAGAGACGGGGTTTCACCGTGTTAGCCAGGATGGTCTCGATCTCCTGACCTCGTGATCCGCCCGCCTCGGTCTCCTAAATTGCTGGGATTATAGGCGTGAGCCACCGCGCCCGGCCAATGACTGTGTTTTTAATATAATTTGTTTCATTCATAATCCAATGCATTTAATTTTATTTTAAGCATGTGAAGACACCATTCTGAGGAGGGGTCCATGGCTTCACCAGATGCCAAAGACGCCCATGCCACAGCAAAGAAAAATTCATTGATCAATCCTTCAATGACCCCATGAAGCAGCAGTGTTACCAGTTTGCTACAGAGGGGAACCTGAGGCACAGGGAGGTTGTGCAACTTGTTTAAGGTCACATAGATATCGAGTGGTTGTGCATTATTATATCTGTCAGTTGTTTTTATAGCCTATGGGCTGATGTGGGCTTGTCCTTTGTGTCACATCAGAAAGCAAGTCTGGTCAATTATTTTCTTTCTCAAGGTTAAGTGAGATCAAGAAAAATAATACACATATATTGCATGGATTATTTGTGGTCATCATTTGCTAATCCTTATACCTGTGCCATGTTGGATTAATTATTACAGCTTTGTGAGCTGCTTTATTAAGGAGGGGAAGTAGAGTGAACAAATCATGGCAAGTCACTTCACCTCATCTTCTCATTTAAGGATGCTGATACTGGTGTTGCCAAGGCGACGCTGTCAGCTTTCGGAAGCATCTTTAAATGGGAGAGGCGAAGGCCCACACAGATCGAGGCGGAGGAAAACTCAGAAAAAAGGCTCAAATCCCTCGGCCGCAGAGACAAACCATCCTGGTGGGGACCATCCCTCACCCCCCGCACATGGCCACTTTCTACCTCACCTGTGGTGGTTGTCTCTGGGGTGTACTCAGGGAACTCTCTCCCCAGTGTGGAAACTGCCTTTGCTGGGAACAACGCAGAGATCTCAGAAATGATGGATCCATCAAGTGCCAGTGGGAGAGACTGAGTGGTCTTGGAGGCCTTTCCAGGAAGTTCCTCCTGCCCTTGGTACACGAGTTTGGTGGTAGATGCCCAGATGCCCAGAGTGCTCTGGGAGAGGAAGGCAGCTCACAAATGCAAATGCGCTGGAGGTGGTGCTTGGCTGTGCTGCCTTGGATGAGACCCTTTCCCTCTCTGAGCCCTAATTTCTTTTTTCTTTTTCTTTTTCTTTTTTTTTTTTTTTTTTGAGACAGAGTCTGGTTCTATCGCCCAGGCTGGAGTGCAGTGACAAGATGTCGGCTCAGTGCAACCTCCGCCTCCCGGTTCAAGCAATTCTTCTGCCTCAGGCTCCTGAGGAGCTGGGGCTACAGGCATGTGTCACCATGCCCAGCTAGTTTTTGTATCTTTAGTAGAGATGGGGTTTCACCATGTTGCCCAGGGTGGTCTTGAACTTCTGAGCTCAGGCAACCCACCAGCCTTGGCCTCCCAAAGTGCTAGGATTACAGACTAGGAGCCACTGTGCCCGGTGCCTAATTTCTTCATCACTGAAATGGGAAGAAAACTAACCTGGTGCAGGGAGAGGTGACAAGTGTTTTCCATAGGAACCCGCAGATGCAGGTATCCTAGAGGCTGGCACCTATGAGCTGTGGCCCCCAGGAGACCCAGTCTAGGCTCGAGACCACACCAGCCGTGCCCTCTACAGTGCCTTGTGCTGCCCAGGATCCTCAGGTTGGTCTTGTCTGCAGCCATTGTGAGTCAGCCTCACTGTCAGAAGGGCTTTCAGAGGTTGCTAGGTGCTCTGTCCATGGGAAACTGAGGTTCAGAGAGGGCCAGGGGCTCTGATCCAATGGCAGAGCCAGACTGATAACAGGGTCTAATATTCCTGGGCAGGACACAGCTGTGCCCTTGATAGTCAGAGGCAATCTGGGATGAACTGGATCCTGGGGTCAGGACCTGGGGACAGGGAGGCCGAGAGAGGGCACAGAGGTGGAGAGAAGAGAGATGAGAGCCAGGGACAGGGAACGAGGGAAGGCTGCCTAGCATCCCTGTTTCCTGAAGTCATGACTTGGGTGTCACTGACCCCACTGCTGGTGCCAGGCATGATCATGAGACCGAGGTCTGGTCAAGCAGAGTAAGAGTGATAAGCATAGGGATGGACACAAGACCAATCCTGGCTGCAGAAAATCATTCCTTTACTGGAATCATGGAGACGAGGGAGCTCCCCGGGTCAGGGATGCTGAGCTGGGAGGACATGAGCCTGGGGCTGCCAGAGCCTTCTTGTGAGGAAAGATCCTGGCTGAGAATGAAGTCAACGGGGCAGATGGAGGGGCTGAGAGGTGGAGCTGACATCATTTGAGCCTCTGGATCTAACCTCACTTGCCTTTACCCTTAGACTTTCCAGTTATGTGAGTCAATTTATTCCTTAGGGCTAGAATTTCTATCCCTTATACCTGAGTCCTGGCATGGAAGAGGAAGGAAGGTAAGAAAGAAGGATGAATATTTAAGAACAGGTGTCTGAGGCTGGGTATGGTGGCTCATGCCTGTAATCCCAGCACTTTGGGAGGCTGAGGCAGGTGGATCACATGAGGCCAGGAGTTTGAGACCAGCCTGGCCAACATGGTGAAAACCCGTTTCTACTAAAAATACAAAAGTTTTCCGGGCGTGGTGGTAGGCGTCTGTAATCCCATTACTCAGGAGGCTGAGGTAGGAGAATCACTTGAACCAGGAGGCAGAGATTGCAGTGATCTGAGATCATGCCACTGCACTCCAGCCTGGGTGACAGAGTGAGACTCTGTCTCAAAAAAATAAAATAAAATTACATAAAGAACAGGTGTCTGAGGATAACTCAAATCAGCTTCCTGCCCCCTTATAAAATGGGAGTAGAGAGGGACTTGGGCCTTCAACCCACCCAGAGGAGTTCTGTCCCTGGGCCTCACAGCTTTGCCCTGTCTCCTCTCTAGCTTGCAGTCAGCCTAGAAACTACAATAGAAAAATAAATGATGTGGATACAAAAATAAAATGCCTTTTCCTCACCTGAGTGCAGGAGAAGGGGCGGCATGTGCTGGGGAATGCCTTCCTCACCCCATTCTCCTCTTTGAGGACAAACATTTATTAGGCACCTGCTTCATGCCAGGCTCTATTAAGAAGATGACATACATGGTCTCATTTCCTCCTTGCCATAGCCCAGCCAGGAAGGAATATTATCATCTCCATTTTACAGATGGGAAAACTGAGGCTTTGATGATGTGAAGATAACTGGTGCCTTGAGAGGCTGAGCCACTGGACCAAAGTGTCAGAGCTGGAGCAGGTTTGTCCGACTCCAAAGCCCTGCCCACCACACCACACTGCACACAGTAGAGGCTAAATAAAGGTCTGCTGGGCAAATGCTGCTTAAGGCGATTTGAGCTCTCTGGGCAGCAATCTGCCCCTAAAGATTTCCCATCATGCCTGAAATGCCACCATTAGCAACCATGTCCTTTGAGTCTTGAAGGGGAAGAGTGCTAATTCCCAGGAATGAGATCAAAGTCAGTCTGTGCTGGGTTTACTCAGGGATCGGCTGAGAGTGGGACTCAGGGCTGGGGCGAGCCAGGGGGATGAAGGGGTCCCATTCCCATTGGCTCAGTCTCATCCAGGAGAAAACCTTCTGAGGACAGAGGTGTATCCTGGCGGTAGGGCAGGTGGGCTCCTGGCTATGCCTGGGTGTTGGCTGATGACAACAGGGCAGACAGCATGACACAGTGATGGGGGCAGGTGACAGAGTAGCTGTGGATCCTTTCTGACTCCATCCTCTGAAAGAAGCTATGAGGGCCCTGGTCTCCCAAACTCAGGCAGAGGCCTTATCTCCTCCCCTGCAGCTCCCCACCTACCACCACAGAGGCAGCATCACTGCTGGATGGGGAAGGGAGGGAGGCTAGGGGTTAGGGCTTGGAGGCAGAGAGGATCTGGACTTGGAGACAGATGTCCTGCCTAACAGTCCCTGTAATTGAGCCTGGGGGAGTTGAGGTTACAGGGAGTCCTAAGGGAAGCCACCCAGGTAGAGATCAGCTTCCTGGGACTTGAAGGAGCCTTGGAGGACATGAGCCTATAACACAGACAGGGACCTAGTTCTAGACCCTTCTTCAGGGATGGTATCTGTTTTAACTGAAAGGTTATTTCCAGTTGTTTTTAGAGGTTGTTTGAGGCTGTCACTGTGGCCCTTGTAGCCAAAAAGGGTGAGTATAGCTGGGGTGGGGATGGGGTCGTAGGGCTCCTCCTTATGCCAGGGGAGCACTAGCTTTGTCCAAGAGCATCTACAGTCCTGTGAGATGCTCTGGGACAAACCGAGCCCATTTTCAAATAAGTAAATTTGGAGAAAGCTGCCCACTCTAGCCCCTTCATGGGTAGTCACAAGGCACTTGGCCATATTAAAGGCTCTGATCAGTCCTGCAGTGAAGAGTGCCTGTTCACTTTGACTTAACCTGCTGTTTCCTTTTCTCATTGCTCATAGGTACTTTTAGAGACAAGCCATAGTTATTCCCTGTGACACATCCTCTAGGACATGCTGGAGGTGAAGGAGCATGTCCTTTTGGGTCTCCTAAAGACCCTGAGCTCCAAACATTGGAGCCTAGAAGTGGTGAAGTGGTAAAGCCTAGAAGTGGTGAAGTCTAAAGACCCTGAGATCTAGGGTCATTAGAACCTAGAAGTGGTGAAGTGTGAAGGGGAAATAATGATTAACCCACCCACTAAGGGGTGGATGCAGCCCCTTCAGACTTGAAAAGAAAGTTCAAGGACATCTCAAGACTAGAAAATCTTGGAACAGGAGCTTAGAATGGGAGATGGCCTTCTTGCCAATCCAAGGGAGAGAACCTGGGCCATCTGGGCAGCTTCCGATGTGCAAATACATTCCCACCTGCCTGCAACCCCACCATTGGTCATGGGAATCAAGTTTGGTCTGTTCTCAGCCCATTCAAGGTACTGTGACCCTCAGGCAGGGAGCCCCTGAAGGGGGAGGGAGAGAAGAGGGGCGAGGACTACATCAGAGGGATGGGCCCCGAACACCCTCCATGTCACAGACGGAGGGGAGTTGGGGGGCAGATGACCCTTCTGGACTTCTGGGTCAAGGAGGGCTGGCTCAGGAAGCCCAGGGTGTCAGGGAAGGCGGTGGCACAGTGTCTTGCATCTGGGTCCAGGTTGTCCAGGAGTGCCAAGTCCGAGCTTCTCCTGTGTGGTCCAGCCTCTGGCACAGCTGCTCGTTAGATGTCCAAAGGCCGTATCATCATGCGAGAGGCACGCAGTGAGTAGCTGGGGCCCTTGAAGTAGTGCCAGCGGATGCCGTCCATCTTGTACTTGTTGTCGGGAGCGTGGTAGTAGACGCCGTTGAGGTTTGACAGGCCACAGGCGTCAAACCACCACCCTGGTGGAAGAGGGAGGACAGGCGCTTGGTGGAGGTGGGAGCCCAGCCAGTGGCAAGAGGGCAGCCCCTGTGTCCCAAAGAGAACAAAGACTAATCGGGGCTGTTGCCTCCTCTGGGAAGCCAGCTGGCTGGGGATGGGGCTGGGTGGGAGTGGGGGTGGGGTGGACAACAGACCCTCTGCTCAGCCGGGGCCTCTAGAGGGCAGCAAGGGGCTCTGGCCACTCCTCGAGCCCCCTTGCTCCTCCCGGCCTTCTCCCTGAGCCCTTGGCGTCCCTGTCTTCCTCCCTCACTGAACCTGTCTTTCCAGCTCCCCAACCTCCCCTCATCGCTCTGCTCACTGCTTTCTAGTGGTCTCTGTCACTCTCTCTGAGTCTCTCACTCTCCAGGTTCATCTCTTTCTCTCTTATGGTCTCTGTGCGTGGGTCTGTCTCTGTGTGTCCCATTGTGTTCATCTTTCTCTGATGGTCTTTGTCCCTCTCTGCCTTTCGTGTCTCTGGCCCTCCCTTCCTCTGGGCCCCCATCTTTCACATGCTGTGTTTGTCTCCCGGCCTCTCCTTGGGCTAAGTCTTTCTCCCCCATCTCCCTCTGTACTTCTCTGCCCCAGTATAGCTCTCCATCTGCTGCTCAATGACTCTGACAGCCTTGGTGTCTCTCTCTTTCTCCATCTGTCCTCTGTGTCTCAGAAGGTCTCTCCCCCTGTCTCTGTTCTTCTTACTTTGTCTCTGTCTCCCATTCACCCCACTTCCTGTTCTCTGACCTCTGTGCCTACCAAGGAACACTGCCTGAGCCACAGCTGGTGTGGAGCTGCCCCTCTGCCTCCCTCTGGTCTCCTGATCCTGGTTCGGCTTGCCTGGGGTTGGGACTGATAGGGTATAGGGTGCCTCCCCCCCGGGGCCCTGCACTCAGTGTTTCTTTAGCCTTGTCTCTGAGGAAAACTGGTGGTGCCAGCTTTAGGAGGAGGTGAGACCTGGAGGGGACTTCAAGGACTCAATGGGGGAAGGCACCGAAGGGGCACAGCCAGGTGAGCTTATGGGTGGGCAAGGCCCAGACCTGCACCCATCCTCCTGACAGCACCTGGGCGCACAAGAACCTGGGGAGGGAATGGGAGTGTCAATCTGGGTGAGCCTGTGGGTGGGCGGAGCTTCACCCCACCCTGCACCTACCTCCAGACATCACTTGGGCACACTTGCAGAGACAGTGGTCGTTGTCTGAGTCAAGGGTGCTAAAGCTGGTGTTCTGCAGGACCAGGCTGCTCTGGCGCCCTGCTGAGCCGCTGTACCCGACCACAGAAAGCCTGGAGGCCACCCAGAGGTGGTGGTGGCAGAAGGGCCCAGAGTCAGGTTGGGGCTGTGTCGAGCAAGAACTTCCCCAGTGGCTTTGTCCCAGGCTGGGCTTCCCCTCCAGGTGTTCTTGGAGGGACAGCCCCAGCCTGGGTGGAGTGCTTGGGCTGTTTCCCTTCCTGGATTGCCTTCCCTGCCTGCTGCCTCCCAGGGACAAAGCACTTACTGTATGCCAGGCCTCCCCTATCTCACTGAACCTGAGTCTTGGAGAGAAGTGATAATGGTCACAATAATGATAATAATGGCTAATACATATACATTTTTTTCTTTAGAGACAGCAACTTGCTCTGTTGCCAGGCTGGAGTGCAGTGGCACAATCACGGCTCATTACAACCTTGACCTCTTGGGCTCAAGCAATCCTCCCACCTCAGTCTCCTGAGTAAATGGGACAATAGGCACGGGCCACCATGCCCAGCTAATGTTTGTATTTTTTGTAAAATACAAACATAGGGTCTCACTATGTTGCCCAGGCTGGTCTTGAACACCTGAGCTCAAGCAGTCTGCCTGCCTTGGCCTCCCAAAGCACTGGGATTACAGATGTGAGCCACCGTGCCCGGCAACGTTTCTTTTTCTTTCTTTTTTTTCTATTCTTTGCATCTACTATGTGTTCAAAGTGCTTTGCATAGGTTAACTCATTCTCCTTTAATCCTCACAACACCCTATTTCCATTTTACACATGCGAAAACAGAAATCCCAAGAGCCAAAGAAACCTGCTCAAGTCTCAGAATGAATGAGGGTCAGAGCCACATGCCAGCCTAGTGTGGCCTGACTTGGGAGTCTACGTGCATTTTGTTCCCCAGCTGATGATGATCTGGCAACCCCAGCCCCATCGCACCTCCTCACATTCACCCACCTCTTCCAAGAAGCCTTCCCTGACTACACCAGCCCCCATGGATCTGGGCTCCAGGGCACCCCAGCTCTGCAGCTTCGACATCTGCTGCCAGCCAGGTGAGGATTTCTATTTCTTTGCCAGGCTCTGTGGCCTTGGTGGGCATGTCCAAGCCTGCCTGGTGATGAAGACCATGAGATCTGGGGGCAGAAAGCCTGGATTCAAATTCCAGCTCTACCACTTAGAGCTGCATGGCCTTGGAGGATTGGCTCACCCCACTGAGCCTCAGTTTCTTCATCTGTTCCAGTGGTAATGATAGTGAAATTAGCAGTGCTGCCCTCGTTTATTATTGATTTGGTGATGTCAGTGTGTGAAGTGTGCAGAGCAGTGTCACGGGGTGAGTGCTCAACATTCAGTGCTTGTTATTATTTGGCCCTTGGCAGATGGCTGGGCCTGGTTGGAGAGAATGCGGGGTGTTTGTATGGCAGGGTTGGGGGAGGCTGCACTGGCAGCTGAAGTAGGGAGCCAATTTGGGAGCAATTAAGAAGGTCCTGCTGAGGCTGGGTAGGGTGGCTCACGCCTGTAATCCCCGCACTTTGGGAGGCTGAGGCAGGCTGATTGCTTGAGCCCAGGAGTTCGAGATCAGCCTGGGCAACATAGGGAAACCCTGTTTCTATAAAAAATACAAAAATTAGCTGGGCATGGTGGTGCATGCCTGTAATTCCAGCTACTTGGGAGGCTGAGGTGGGAAGGTCACTGGTCACTGGAGCCTGGGAGGTCTGGGAGGTCAGGGCTGCAGTGAGCTGTGATCATGCCACTGCACTCCAGCCTGGGCAACAGAGTAAGCCCTGTCTCAAAAAAAAAAAAAAAAAAAAAGAAGGTCTTGCTGGGTGGAGGCAAGTGGGTGGCAGATGTGGCCAGGGCAGCTCAAGGAAGCTCTTGTACCCTCAGGGCAGGGCCTGAGAAATTCCCCAGTGGGAATTCAGAGGGAATACAGAGCCTGGGTATATGGTTGGCTCAGTCCCCACACCTCCAGTCATAGATTGTGTCTGTCGCCAGGGAAATGAGACTTAATTATTCTCTGTGTAGAAAAGACTTGGGAGGCTCCCTCAGCTTCCTTTTAGGCACTTACTATGTCTGGGGATGGGAACAGCCGTGCTCCCAGAAAGCAGTCCAGTCAAGGGTGTGAAAGGCTGCCACGAGACAGTGATCGTAATATTGTTTGCTGAGCGTTTACTACATGCCAGGCACTGTGTTAATGCTTCATGTGCAGTATCTCATTCAGGCCTCATCACACCCTTTTTGAGGTAGGTATGCCTAAAGCACCCATTCTACAGATGAAACCGTGAAGGGACTTGCTCAGGGTCACTCAGGGAAGTAGGGATGGAGTCGGGATTTAAGCCTTTGCTTTAGTGGCCAGTGGCTTAAATGGGACTCAGCATAGTGTTGTAGCTACTCACTGGTCAGGTGTGAGGAGTAGGGGGACATCCAGGGAATTTTTCATTCAGCTCTGGACCTTGCATTATCAGGTTGGTATGGATCCCATAAGGAGGGATGTCAGAACCTGGGCAACATAGGGAAACCCTGTTTCTATAAAAAATACAAAAATCAGCTGGGCATGGTAGTGCATGCCTGTAATCCCAGCTACTTGGGAGGCTGAGGTGGGAAGGTCACTGGAGCCTGGGAGGTCTGGGAGGTCAAGGCTACAGTGAGCTGTGATCATGCCACTGCACTCCAGCCTGGGCAACAGAGTGAGACCCTGCCTCAAAAAAGCCTTTGCTTTGGTGGCCAGTGGCTTAAATGGGACTCAGCTGGAGGAAACAGTGGGGGCATATCACTGAGAAGTTCCCAGAAGTGGAATCAGGCATAAAGTTCAGGAGGACAGAGAGTCATTCAGAGATTCCTTGTGGGGAAGCGACCTTCCCACCAGTGGAGGTATTCCAGCACGGCTGGATGATGATTGCAACTATGGAGGGAATCTATGAAGAACCAGATGACACGTGAGATTTTTTGCAGCCCTGTGAGTGTGAATCCTGGTTCAGAGATAGCCAGGACCCAGGCTTATCTAAAAGATCCTTAAATTTCTCTGAGAGGCAATATCATGTTGTGGAGACATCATGAGTTTTGACAGCAGGGAGATCTGAGTTCAAATTCCAGCTCATTTAACTTGTAACTTTGGGCAGGATACTTAAACTTGGCATCTCAGTTTCCATATTACTAAAGTAGGTACAGTAATGCCTACTTCAAAGTGTTGTGGGGAAGATTAAATGGAATAATGGTGCCTGGAACACAGTAGGTGCTCAATAAATGCTAGTTCCTTTTCCCAAATATACCAAGAACCAGGCTGAGGAAGGGGTGAGAAACCTTGATGATCTTACAAGATCGTCATGTTTAAGCTCATCCTGCTATTGAAGAAGCAGAAGCTCAGAGAAGCCAGACTGACTTGTCCAAGTTCCCAAAGCAAGCTGGAGCAAGGCCACAATGAGTGCAGGAATTTCAACTTCTGGCCCAGGGACCCTTCCACCCAGCCCCAGGGCATAGGACAGGCTGGGCAAGTCACCTCCTTTTGCTTCTGGGTCTCTGTAAAAAGGCTGACTTGGGGTGACTGACCTTGGAAGACCCCTTCTTGCTCCTCGGATGGCAGCACCAATGACATTCTTTCCACTCCACCCAGTGGCTAGGACATGCTGAGTGCTAACCAGCCACCTCCAGATCCCATGACGTGCACCCAAATGGGGGACAGATGGTAGGAACAGGAGACACCCAGAGACTGACCGTTGGAGCAGACTCTGTAGACACTAGCCTGGGGACCCCAGCCCGCCCACTAGCTGAAGACCCCAGCCCCCACAACGGCCTGGGCCCCGAACCCACCTGTATAGCTGGTTCTCACTGCCCAGGTGGAAATGTTCGTACTGGGCATAGGCCTCGTGGCCTTCCCAGTCTTGCAGCTCCACACGCAGAGAGTAGGCTGCCCTTCTGGTGAGCTGGTGCACCACTTCATTGCCCAGCCAGTGCTCCCCAGCTGGGTCTCCGAAGCCCTATAGGGAGGGGAGCGTGGGGTGAGACTCATGCTGAGGAGGAGGCCATGTCCCTGGCTGAGGAGCTGGGCTGGGCCAGGCTCCAGGGCTACTTATACAAAACCACTGTGCTTAATGATCGAGTTCATAAGTACAGTGTAGGCAGGACTGGGAGTAGGAGCCCTCCACCTGCTAGAGGGAAAAGACTAAGGCTTTTGTAAGTGTAAAAGCCTGTTAAAAGTTATTGAAATCACATTCCTCTGAAGTTCAAGAACAGGAAAAAGTAATATTTGGTGACTACCTTTGGTGGAGTATTGACTGGGAGGGGGCACAAAGTGGGCTTCTGGGGTGCTGGGAGTGTTGTACATCTAGCACTGAATGGTGGTCACGTGGTTAAATACATATCTAAAGGCTCACTGAGCCTTACACTTTATTTGTGCGCTTAGACACATGTACGTTAAACCTCAACAAAAATTAAATAAAATATTTCAATCAGCTACATAAATAGTAGAGCAAACTTTGTTCAGTGACAGCGCAGCCACTGCAAGATTTCAGCAACACAGAAATGTAAAACTGAGAGTGTGGGGAATGTCATGTCCCAATGCCCTTGGACAGAACAAGAATTCAGCACCAAGGACAGGGGCACACCCAAGGCCCGCTCCCCAATTTAGTCACGATGCAATGCGGGTTAGCCTGATGGTTAATATTCAGGGTTCTTTTGTGTATTTCTGCACCTGGACACCCTATTCCTCCTTGCCATTTTAATGGTTGTTTAAAGCCCAATTAGTTCAAAACACTCATAACTTAATTTGGTATTTATTTTTAAGTATTCCTTAAATGAACAGCAAGCAGACGCAAATAATAGAACTGCTGTATCACTTTGTGGGTATCTTTTTCTATTTCTTTGGCTTTGAAAACTTTAAGAGCTTTTAAGTATTTTAAGTCAGCTTGGCAAAAAATCCTTTATTCAAAACCTAATTAAAAAATTGGAAAACAATCGGGCTTCTCATCTGATAAAATACATGTGATCTTTGGGCCTGCAATTCCTCGTTAATGAATCTCTCCTGCAGATATGATCATAGACGTATGAAAAGACAAGAAACTTCATTAAAGCAACGCAGTCAGGGTTGACTGGGGGGATTTTTATTCTGTCTCCTCCTTTGTATTCTTTAAAAAATTAGAAATGTATATGTATTTTTTTAAAAAAAATTAAAACAAAAATAAAGCTAAACTTTTTTTCTTAGAACATATGTCAGAACTTTCAGAAAGAACATTCAAATTCAGGTGATGGGGTCCCATAAAGCAGATGTGCACTGTCAGCTTTAGATGAGTTGATTTTTTCTGGGGGAGGAATGAGGGCAAAGCAGTCCCCTTCCAACAGCCCAGCCCCAGCCCCAGGTTTCAGAGCAGAATGGCCCCTCCCCAAGGCAGCAGGGCTACCTGTTTGTAATCCTTCCAGTTCCGCTGAAAATTCACGGTGCCATTCTCACGGCGCTGGATGAGGGTCCACCTGCCTCCACTGCTCTGCAGGTCACAGAACACCTGGAGGGGGTGGGCAAGGCACAGCTGGGAGCCCTTGGAGGTAGCCAGAGGCCAGGCCTGTGCTAGCCCAAATGTGGCTAAGCAGACAGACCCCCACAGAGCAACAGGTGAGCCTGGGGGTCCTGGGCATCAGAAAGATCCAGGCTTAAATTCCCCACCCATTGTCATCATTTTTCTAAAGTGGTGGGTAAGGAATGACCTCTCAGAGCCTTCCTCTCATTTGTAAAATGGAGATTCATACCTTAACCTCTTTGTGCCTCAGTCTCTCATCTACCAACTGGGGTTGTGAAAATTAAACGAGATGAGTCACGTAAAGTGTTTAGAACAGTGCCTGGCAGTACTAGGTAAACGGAAGCTCGACCTCTTTTTGTTGAAAGGAGAGGTTAGCAGGTGTGTGAGAAGTGTAAAAGACAACCTGGAGACAAACAGAGGCATTCTCCTTAGTATATTAAGAGGGGGTGAAAGGAAATAGAGCAATGGTAATACTAGCAATTTGAGGGCCGAGGAGGGAGGATCGCTTGAGCTCAGGAGTTTCAGACCAGCCTGGGAAACACAGGGAGACTTTGTCCCTACAAAATGTTTAAAAATATTAGCCAGGCCATGGTGGCATGTGTCTGTGGTCCCAGCTACTTGGGAGGCTGAGGCAGGAGGATCACTCGAGCCCAGGAGGTCAAGGCTGCAGTGAGCTGTGATCATGCCATTGCACTCCAGCCTGGGCACCAGAGCAAGACCCTGTCTCAAAAAAAAAAAGGGAATTATGAAGTAGGAATCTGCTAGTTGTTTCCCTTCTAGGCCTGGCTCTCAGACCCTCCCTCCTGACATCCGTGCTCTTCTCTGTCACCCTTCTTATCGGATGACTTGACCTTAAATTTTAGGACAACCTTGGGAGCCACTGATTGAAAATGGTGGCACCTCTATTAGCCCTGGTTTCTAATTTCCCACATGGAGCAGAACCCCAACTCCTGCCTTCAACTGGACTATATGTAAACTAGAAAGAAACGTCTTTGGGCTAAGGCCCTGGAATTTTGGGGGTTGTTTGTAATATCAGCTATCATCATCTTAACCAACACTGAACTATTTTGTGCTGTTCCAGTTAAAGCACCTCTGAAGTGATGCTGGTTAAGGATGCACTTCCAACTTTGGGAACTTCTGCTTATCCCCACAATCTGATCCCTGACTGCTGGGAAGTCAAAGCCACCCCTACACCTCTGGTATTTCAGATACTGGACAAAGCCTGATCCCGATGGGGTGCGGGGTGTCTGTTTGGGAAGCCCTTGGCTCAGCACCCTCTAACAGCCACAGTTCCCAGGGAGCCCCCTAACCTTCCTGGGCTTCGTTGCATTGGACACCTGGATGGTGTAGACACCACTGGCACTGGCCCCAGAGCGCTGGATCTCTGCACAGTCCTGGAACACCTGCTCACCTGCCATTATGAAGGCTGCAAAGGGACAACACAAAAGTCAGTTGGAGGTGGGCAAGGAAAGAGAGAAGGGGCCAAGTGGGCATGCCTGCCTGCTTTGTGCCAGGTTCTGGGTTGGGAGGTGCTGGGGACAGGGAGATGAGTCAGACCTGGGAAGATTTCGTAGAGGAGGTGACAGTAAGCTGGAACCTGTGTAATGAGCAGGAGTTGCCCAGTGGAGAAGGGGAAGGTGTTCCAGGCGGAAGAAACAGCATATGCAAAGGCCCCAAGGTAGGAAGGGCCCTAGTGTGTGCAGAGGACAGGGCATGGGGAGGGGAACTAAGGCTGAGGCCAAGGAGAGGAAATGACTCACACCGTGAGAGAGGAGTTGAGACCAGGGAGGCTGCTTGCTGTATGATGCAACTGAGAGGGTAGAACAAGGCTGGCACAGAGAAGGTGGGGAAGGAAAAGGAGAGACGAAGCTGAGATTTCAGCAGGGCCAAGTCAGCCGTGAGTGCCAGGCTGCGGAGCCCAGATTCTCTGGGCTGAGAAAGAGCACTCTGTCCAGAGTGTGGAGGGGGGCCTGGAGGGGATGAGACTCAAAGCTGGGAGGCCAGAGAGGAGGCTGCTAGAGTTTTCTGGGAGAGAGTTACTGGGGCCTGAACTCCAGTGAGGCACTTCCCATTTCACAGACCAGGAAACTGAGGCCCAAGAGTGAGGCAACTGGCCCAAGGGCACACAGCCAGGTAAGGCAGAACCTTCCTTCTTTGGAGCTCCCTTGGGTGGGAAGCTGTGGGCTCCCCTTCATAGCCCACCCTTTTGGCTGTATCTCCCTGCTGCCCTGGGCATATGCTCCCTTATTCTGTCCTCCCTTGAAGCTGACTGCTGGCCTTAAAGGGCCCCTGTTTCTTCCCTCTGGACTACATGAGATCGGGATAGTATTAATGACTAAAACCTACCAGGGGTTTCTAGGCCTGGCCTGGAAAAAGTGACTGTTGACAAACAAAGTGCAGAGATTTAAAATCTCCTCTGTCTCAATTAGTGGAATCCAGTTAGAGGTTTGAACTATGATTCTACCAGAATCCAATCTCTCTGGGTAGCCAGGTACCCAGGATGGGGCTAAAATTCCAGATGGATAGGTTGTCAACACCAGTGAGGAACCAGGAGGCTACCACAGGGTGGGACTTCCTGGTTTGGCTTTACATCTGAACTTCAGGGATCCCAGATCCTGGATCTGGGGCACTTGTCCAGAGAAGGCTATTGCTCTCATGTCACAAATGAGATGACTAAGACCCCCAAATCAATTCCAGTTCACTCACAAGCATTTCCTGGGCAGTGGAGACCCCTGCCCCACCTGTTGGCACCCCCTCAGCTCCCCACAGGGAATTGGAGTCCAGCCAAGCATGAGGAGGCTGTTGGCCTCAAGGTGAGCAGGGATGGGCTGAACCTCACCCAGTAAGGCAAGGACAGAGCCAGGGTTGGCCTGAGATTTCCAGCCACCCTTTCCAAGGCTCTGCTCACTGTTATTTTCCTTAGTCTACAACAATATCAATAACAATAACAACAATAATATCAACACAAAAAGTGAAATACTCACCATGTATTGTAGTGTTTCCAAGGTGTCATGTAATGCCAGGGGTAGTTTGGGGCCAGGAAAAATATTTTTGGGAGGCATAAGAATAGGATGGACTGATATTGATATGCAACAGTTTGATCTGGTCCTCCTCTGAATATCTGGGCTGGTAATTTGTACCAGTTTCCCTCGCTTTTGTGCATAGGCACTGTGCTGAACCCTTTTGTATGCATGAACTCATCCGATTCTCTGTGCAAGAACTCTATGAGATTATTATTCCCGTTTTACAAGTAAGAAAAATTGAGGCTCTGAGAAGTTAAATAAATGACTTGTATGAAGTTCCAGTGCTAATTAATAAGTGAAGGAGCCAGGGCTTGAACTCCGGCCCATCTGACTGCAAAGCCAGTGCCCTTCCTCCTACACATCTTCCTTTGGATTTCCACCACTGAGCATATGTAAGGTTGGGCAAACAGCCTGCATGAACAATCGCTGCTTTTATATCATGCACAAGTTTGGTCTTTTCTGCCTGTGCCCATGTCCTTGTAACCTTCTGAACCAAACTCCCCAGTGCCTGGGAACATCAGAAGACTTGACTCTCTTCTCCTTTCACTAGCCTCCACCTGACTGGGACAAAGCCATGCAGAGAGCTAGTGCTCCCTTCCTGCTAGACTTCAAGGATGCCTGGTTCCTGTGCCCCATCTCCATCCAGCCCTCTCTTCTACACCTGGTGACTGAGCCTCTCCTTCAGTTTCTCCATCCAGAAGGGGGTGAAAGCAACTGCCTAGTGTCCTTCCCTGGTGATAGTGGAGCACGGGGGACAGGGTGTTTGGGCAAAAGGTGCCCAAGGTGAGGTGCCCAACACAACCTCCTACTCAGACGATTGAGCAGACATTCAGCCTCATCTGGGGACTGGGTTACCAGTGGGTTAGTGGGAGGCATTGGGCCCAGGCCCTGTGCCTTGGGCTGAGCTACAAGAAACCCACACATGGGATGAATTCAGGCAGCTCAAGGCCAGGTCTGTGCATACGCCAGTAATAGGTTCAGGTTAATCCACATGTCGCGATTTGGAAGGTGTCTACTTTTCCTACCTGTAGCTTCCTTAGGCCTCAAACCCCTACTCAGCTGGGTCTGCCAGACTGAGATGGAGCCAGGGTGGAATCTTCTGCCCTCAAATCCCTGTCAGCCCTGGTGGTGCCGGGAGCGCCATCACTATTGGGTCTTAAAGGCTTTCCAGCCTTCCACTATGGATCCAGGAGCAGCAGTAGCCCCTTTGGTCTTTCTCTCTCATCAGGACATCTCCACTCATGGTTCCAGTCAGAGCTTCTTGAAAGTAGTCCCACTCTGTTCAAAAGCCTCCCATGCCCCCTGCTAGCCTCAGGCTAAGAGCCCTTCTCCTTCGCACAGCCTTTGGACCTGTCTATTTTTATGGTCTGGAAACTTCAGGAACACTGATAGCTGAGCATCTGGCACATATTATGCACTCAAAAACCATGTATTTCTTTCTCCTTCCCTTTGGGACCCGTAAACCAGGGACTGGACATTTTTGCAAGAGACAGGAGCTGTGACTGTGCATTCACTGCTGTATCCCCAGCACCCAGCACTGGGCCTGCCACACAGTAAGTGCTTAGTAAATGTTTGTTGACTGAGTGATTGCAGCTGGGGCCAAGAATGCCTTGGACACCCCAAGTAGGCCGTGTTAGAAGGAGTCAGTGAGAGCCTGGGAGCCCAGCCCAGAATTGTTTTCTTGACCCAGAAGCCAGGGCCAGGGATGCCTCTTCACTTCTGTTTGGCCCTCTTGGGCTTAGGGGCAGGGGCATTAAGATGAGAGAGGTCCTTGGGGTGCATTGAGTCTAACCTCCCAGTTCCTCCCATTCTACAGCCAGGAAAACTGAGGCCCAGGGAGGGGTAGGACAAGCCCAAGAAAGTGGGGCTGGAGAATGAATCCTGGAGACCAAACTTGTCAGTCTGGATTGCTGTTGCCCTCATCCTCGCCTCCAAAACCCATGGGTAAACTGAGGCCAAGAGAGGGGCAGGGGCATGCCCAAGGTCACCCATGGAATCAGGGGACAGGGCCTGGATTGGGATTGTTGTTGACGCCATTATTACTGTTTATTGTTGTTTCTATTTCACAGATGGTCGGGGAGGGTGGGGCCCGCAATGGCTCCCAGGCGCCCAGAGACCCTGGAGGGTGAGCAGGGTCTCCCCTCCCCTCTCCTGCCCGTCTTTAGCCACACTGGGGCGCACACCGCTCACTCACCCGGGGCCGAGGCGTTAGCCCTTTCTTGCACCAGGTGCCGCAACAACACCAGCAGCTGGCGCAGGCTGTGCTGCTGGTCCTGCAGGAGGCTGGAGTTGTGCCTGACACCGCGCAGGCCGCGCTCGATGTTGGTGAGGGCGGCGCTCTGGCGGCTCAGCGTGTTCAGCAGCTTCGCCTTCTTGCTGAGGATGCTGGCCAGCTCCTCCTGCTGCTTGGTCTCCAGGGCCTGCAACCGCTTCTCGAGCGCGCTGCGGGGTAGGGGGCGCACAGAGGTGAGCCTGGCATCCTCGCGAAGCACGCACCCCCGCGCGCCTCCCCGGCCCTGGAGTCCCTGCAGCCCGACGATGAGACTCAAGTGTGGTGGAACGTCCTGTGCCCACTGTAGGCACAGATTGAGGAGGGGAGAAAAGAGATACCCGGCCCTGGAGTAATATAGATTGAGGTTTAGTGGAAGAAAGAGGTGGTGTGGGAGGGACACCAGCAACTGGGTAGCTATTATCAAATCCCAACTGTGCTTGCTTTTTGACCCAGCAGTCTACTCTCAGGAGTTATCCTCTAGGGAGCATGGTCAAGAATGGCCCTGGGGACTTGCTTGTAATAGAAAAACAAACTAACCAACCAACCAAAAAAGATATAGCCTAGATGCCCAAAAGCCAGGACTGGCTGAATCCGTTGCGTTTTGGCGTCCCTGGAAATGTTCCGCAGTCATGAAGGAGGAGGCATTTGCACAGAATTGGAAAGATGCCCAGGACTTGGGGCACATCAAGCCTAACCCCATGTGTGGCAAGAGAAGAAAGAAAGTATTAATGTAAATAAAGAGAAATGGGGTGAACATATAGGAGAAGGCTGGAAAGACCGCAGTGGTGCCTGTGTTTGGGAAGAATATGAAAGAAATTCCCTCAAGTGCTGTGACTTCTGCAGAGCAGGTTTGAGTGGATGAAGATGGAGAGGAGGAAGATGGGGGCAGGATGGAGGGCCCAACTTTCACTTTTATTTTGTACAGGTTCCTGTTGTCCGATGATATTATAATAATCAAGAGACATTTTTTGTAATGGATTTAGAAGCAAAGAGGAGTTTTTCAAAAGAAAGCCTTAGACTCAGCTCTTTCTTTTTGGACATTTTATCCTCCAGATTTACTCACATGTGTGTGAAATGAGATATGGAAATGTTACTCATCGTATCACTGGTTGGATTAGTAAAAGGCTGGAAGCAACCTCAATATCCATTAACTGGGGACTGGAGGAATAAAAGCAGGGACCACATATGGTGGAGCATTATAAAGGTGGAGAAAAAAATGAGCAAGCATGTCATGCAGTTATAGAATCTTTCCAAGGTAACTGAATAATAATTTGTAGAAACAAGGTATAAACAAGTAGTAGGCTACATTTGGGCTTAAAAAGGATAAAAATGGGAATGTACAGATGCTCCAAAATGTATGATGGGGCTATGTCCTAATAAAGCCATCGTAAGTTGAAAATGTCCTAAGTCAAAAACTCATTTAATACACCTAACCTGCTGAACATCCTAGCTTAGCCTAGACCATCTTAAACATGCTTAGAACACTTACATTAGCCTGTGATTGGGCACGATCATCTAGCACAAAACCTATTTTATAACAAAATGTTGAGTAGCTTATGTAAGGTATTGATATTGTACTGAAAGAGAAAAACCGAATGGTTGTATGGGTACTCAAAGTACGGTTTCTACTGCATGTGTATCACTTTCATACCACTGTTAAGTCACAAAATTGTAAGCCCAACCATTGTAAGTTAGCAATCTTCTGTATGTATGTGTTTGCATATTCATAAGAAACCCTGGAATGTCAGCTTATAGGATGTCAGCTTCACGAGGACAGGGGCTTTTGTCTCTTTGTTCACTTCTGTATCCACAGTGTCTACAATAGTGCCTGACACATGAAAAGAGTTTGAAAAATAATTGTTGGTTGAATGAATGGAAGGATACACAAGAAACTAGGAACAGTGGCTACCTCTGGCTTGGGTGGGTGGCTGAGAGACAGGGCTGGGAGGGAGACATTTTACTGTATATCCACTTGTGCCAACTCATTCTGCAGACTAAGAAATTGAGTCCAGCTAGGGCAGAAGAAATTTCCTCTGGACTCCCAATTATGCTGCAGGAAAAGAGAGAATTGGGGCACACTGAAATTCTAGAATTCCTGCCCTGTCTTCATGGGCCAAGAGTTTACCGATGACATCCTCCATCCTCACTGATTTCTAGACACCTAGTGTTAATTTAGAGTCATTGAAAGTGTCCCAGTCCTTGCCACTGAGACCTTGGGTTGGGAGAATAAGAAGATGGGCAGATTGTCATTAATTGCACCCAGATTAGAGAGAGCTGGGGGATCTTATGGCCTTATCCTGAACCGGCATGTGAACAACAACATCTTGCCTGATTCACAGGCCTGTGGCTTGTTCAGTGGGTAGATTTTGCCTTCTCCAGAACCCTGACTTTGGCAGCTTTTTTTCTTCACTCAGCTTGAAACTGAGGTGAAATCAGCCTTAGCTGCCAGATTTTTCTGCTTTATCTAAACCTCATGACCGCTTTTTTTTTTTTTTTTTTGTAATTTAAAGGGTGTTCCCCTGATGCCCATTTGCTTATAAATGCAAAGACTCTCTGATAGTGTGGACAAGAACCTGGTAACTGTGGTTGTTTCTGGGAAAGGAATCGTAGATAGCACCAGATTTATTTATTTGCAAAGAAGTAAAGCCAATAAAGTTTACCGGATGAATAGTATGGTGGGTGAATTAGATCTCAATAAAGCTGTTAAAATTTACGAGATAAATAAAAGAAGGAGGAAGGAAGGAAGGAAGGAAGGAAAGGGAAAGAAAGAATCAGGGTGTCCTGGGCCCCAGGAAGATGCCTATCCCCTGTCCCACCCAGTGCAGGGGCCAGGCAATGTGTTTGCCTGGCTCCTAGCCCAGCCCCGTATCCACTCTCATTTCCAGCCTCAGTCTAGACTCCAACCCTGGTTTCAGTCCTTCCCCAGCAGGGGCTATTCCCAGCTCTAGTTTCAGCCCTAACTCCCAGGATACCTCCTTGCCCCAATCCTAATCCAAGCTCCTAGGTCTGGCTGCAGGCCCTATCCCAGACACCAGCCCACGTCCAGCTTCCGGTCCTGGCTCCAGCCCCAGTCCTAGCCCTGGCTCTGGTGCCTGCCCTAGGTCCTAAACTTGACTCCAGCCCCAGCCCCTGTCCTAGTCTGGTGCCAGGTGCCACACCCACCTGTTTTGGCCCTGAAGCTGCTGGAGCTTCTGCCTCTGTAGCAGCAGCTGGTTCTCCAGCTTGTTGGTGGACAGAAAGGTCTCTGGCATCTGGGCATCCATTCTTGATGTCTGGTTCAGGAGCTGCCCCAGCAAGCAGAAGCAGGTAGGGGGCTGCGTAAGCGCTACAGGAGCCCTGCCCAACCACCCACCTGCCCACAGGCCCTGCCACTCCAGAAACTTACCCATTTCCACTCTCCCAGTCGTAGTTCCTGTGGTTACTCACTCACAGGCCCTGACTTAAGCTTATTACCTGCTTCCTAAATTTGCCTTTCTCCATCACTGCAATGGCAGCTCCATTCTCCCTGATGCTTAGGCCCCAGGAGCTGTCAACCCTGTCCCCCACATCCAACTCATCTGCAGGTCCTGTCAGCCTTGCCTTCCAGGTGGCCCCTGACCACCTCTCTCCTGCTCTGTGGCCCTCACTCTGGCCCTGGACTGCTCCCTCATTGCTTGCAATCTATTCTCTACTCAGTAGCCTGGGGCTGCCTCTTAAAACATGTTTGCTCTGTTCAAAAGCTTCCTGTGGCTCCCATCTCATGTAGCGGAAATGCCCCAGTTCTCACCATGGCCTGCAAGGCCCTATGGTGTGATCTGTCCCTATCACTTCTCCAGCTCCTTGCCTGCCACTCTCCTCCTGGTCACTCCAGCATAGTGGTCTCCTGATGTTCTTGAACCTGCCAGCACGTCCATCCTCCCTCCGGGCCTTTGCACATGCTGCATCCCTTGTCTGGAGCACTCTCTGCAGTAAGCCTGGCTGCAGCCCTACCTTCTCCATGGCCCTTCCTGGCCTTGCTGTATGAGCTTGCAGCTCTCATCCCCCCCCACCACTCCCAATGCACCCCCTCTCTTGCTCTCTCTTCCATGCTATTTTCTCCTTAGCGCTGTCACTGGCTAACATATGCAGACATGTGTTGCTTAATGACGGAAAGATGTTGTAAGAAAGTCGTCATCATGCAATTTCGTCATTGTGCAAACATCATAGTGTGTACTTACACAAATCTAGATGGTATAGCCGCCTGCATACCTAGGCTATATGAGACAGCCTATTGCTCCTAAGCTACAAATCCATACAGCATGTGACTGCACCCAATACTGTAGGCAGTTATAACACAGTGGGAAGTATTTGTGTATGCATATCTAAACACAGAAAAGGTACAATAAAAACAGCATACGATACTCTTATGGGACTGCTGTTGTCTATGTGGCAAGTTGTTGACTGGAACATTAAGCAGTGCATAACCATATATGTCACTTATCTTTTCATTTTCAGGGGAAGCTTCACAGGAGTAGGAATGTATGCCTGCTTTGTTTCCTGCTGTATACTAGACACCAGTCTTCTCAAGCAGTGCCTGGCACACGGGGGATCAAACAAACAAATGGGCACAAACTTGTGTCTATTTGTTATTCACTTTTTCATCCACTGACTTCCCTACCCTTCATTTATTCACTAGTTCCTTCCCTGCTCTTTGCTGCTCAGATACCTCTTCTCTCCAAGTCCTTGGCCCCAGAGGCCCAGTGAATTGTTTCTTATCCATCTTCCCCTGGCACATTGTAAGTCCTCTGAGGGCAAGGGAGCTGTGCTACTATACCCCTCATTCCAGTGCCCAGCACAGACCCAGGCACTGAAGTTACAGAGGCAGAAAAGCCAAGCCCAGCATCCACCCCCCAGGGCTCATAGCTTGGAGAGAGATAGTTTTATGACAAGTTCATCAGGGAGGAGGGACCCGGGGGGCTACAGGCCCAGAGGAGGCCTTGACCCTACTCAGGGTCAGAGATCAAGGTAAGATGACTGGGGCTACGAACCAGCCTGGCCAGCCACAGGCCCTCAGTGCCCACTCAGTCACCCTCTGTTACCTGAGCCTCCATGTCGGTCAGCTTGCGGATCTGGGCAGTGGTCTGGTTCAGGAGGCTGGTGCCCAGCTCTAGCATGGGGGCCGTCTGATTCTGGGCCATTTGCTGCTGGACCTGCTCCAGCTTCGACCTCAAGATCGTCTTGATGGCCCTCTCTAGCTGTGGGAGACCATGGGCTGGGGTCACGGGGGAGGGGCGGGGGAAGCCCCCTGTCCCTCCCACGTGTCACCATGGGAGGGCACTGAGCAGCCACTTGAGGCCTCCCTGGCTCAGAACATGCCGGGCCAGGTCAGGCCACCATTACGTCTTGCCTGGACTATCCCAGTAGATTTTTCCCTGGGAGGGATTTATATGCCTGTTTTGTCTGCCTCTCTGCTTCCATCTTTGTCCCCTGCACAGTCCATCCCCCACTAGGCAGCCAGAGGGATCCTGCTAAACCTAAGTCAAGTCACACTCCTCCTTTGCTCAAAATCTTTCCAGGGTTCCTATCTCACGCAGAGGAAAAGCCATGACTGCAGGTTCCTCCGTGACTGGGCCTGCCACCACACTCTCATTCCTCTCCTATTCCCCTCTCCCTCACTCACTTCAATCCCGATGCAATGGCTCCATGACATCCCTCTAACGAAGCAAGCATGTGCCCACAGCTGTTCCCTCACTGTTCCCTCTGGAATCCTCCCCCAACCCTGATCCGCATCTGCGTGGCACACCTCCTCATGCTGTTTCAGCTTTCTTCATACCACTTATCACCACCTGACTTTTTAAAATCACTATCTCTCTTTTTATCTGTCTGTTGTCTGTTTCTCTCTCTAGAATGTCAATTCCATGAAGCCAGGGACTTGGTTTTGCTCACTGCCTTGTTTCTATGTTTAGCACAATGCATGGTGCACAGTGAGTGCTCATAAATGCGCGTTCAATGAATTGATGAAAAAGGGGAAACAGCAAGGGTCAGAGCACAGCGCCCAATCACATGCCCCTTCACCAGCTTCCTCAGGGTGAGTCAGCCAGCAGGGAGTGGGAATGCATCTCTCCCTTGTACAAAGAGTTTGCAGGTCCATTGGCCAAGCTGTGTTTTCTATCTTCAGATCCCCTCTATCTGCCAAATGGGGCTGGACTGGCCAGTCTCCAAGGGTTCTCCCAGCTCTGATGTTCTGGGATCCCACATGCAAATGTTCATTTCTTTGACAGGGCTGCTCTCTTTCCCAAGGGCAGGAGAGCTGGTCTGGCATGACACCAGTATGCTGTTGTAAAGGTGAACAGTGTGTTCTCAGGGCTCGGTGCCTGCAGGCAGAGAGCCAGCTCCCCTCCACCATTGCCTCTCCATTCGGCACACATGCTGGCCTCTCACCATGCCCCCCACCCCTGTCCCTGGCTCCTTCCCTTGCCCTCTCACTCAGTCTTTCAGAAGCCAGCTGGACAGCTCTCAGGGTCCTTGGGAAGATGGGTGCTCCCCAGGAGAGGTGGTGACCTTGGCTCGGGCCAGGCTCCAGCCACTTCCTCCTTCATCTCTTCTCCCTTCTTCCATCTTGACTGTTCACTCCCATCCCTTCCTCACCCTGGAGTGTTTCAAAGGGAGCAAGTTCCATTATCACATCCTGGAGCGGGTGCTTGTGGGCGGTAGTAGTACTGGTTAGAGCTGTGTTTCTCCAAGTGTGGTTCTTCCGTCAGCATCAGCTGAGCTCATTAAAAATGTGAATTTCCAGGTCCCACCGCAGACCTCCTGAACCAGAAACTCTTAATGGTGCCCAGCCAACTGTGGTTAACAACACCCCTGGCTGAGTCAGATGCCTGCTCAAGTGTGAGAGCCCTTGATGCAGAGTAGCAGCAGGGACTGAAGACCAGAGAGACCCCCCTCCTTCTTTCCCTGCATCATCAGCCCACCCCCTCCCTGCAGCACACAAACATGCGCTAACAGCTTCCATCTAAAAACTAACTCCACAGCCTCTCTGGCTGCTTCTCCAGTTTCTCTGATCTCATCAACACAAAACTTCTACAAGTTGTCTCCATTTTCTCACCTTCATACCCACCCTCACTTAAAAAACAACAACAACAACATAACGTTAATAATAAAATGATGTTACGTTTCACACATACAAAAAAGCATAGAGGCCAGGTGCGGTGGCTCACACCTATAATCCCAGTACTTTGGAAGGCTAAGGAGAGTGGATCATTTGAGCCCAGGAGTTTGAGACCAGCCTGGGCAACATGGTGAAACTCCATCTCTACTAAAAATACAAAAATTAGCCAGCCATGGTGGCATAAGCCTGTGGTCTTAGCTACCCAGGAGACTGAGGCAGGAGGATCGCTGGAGCCTGGGAGGTGGAGGTTGCGGTGAGCTGAGATGCACCACTGCACTCCAGCCTGGGTAACAGAGTGAGACCGTGTCTCAAAAAAAAAAAAAAAGTATAGAGAATAAATATAGCCCATAGTGCTCATCCTCCTGTATACCTCCAGTCATGTCTCTCCATCCTGGGAGGTCCCTTTGCCTTTTGGCGTCTCACTGTTGCCCAGGCTGGAGTGCAGTGATGTGATCACGGCTCACTGCAGCCTGAAACTACTGGCTTCAAACAATCCTCCCACCTCCCAAATAGCTGGGACGACAGGCGAGCACCACCACGCGCAGTTCCCCCCTTCGCTCTTTAATTCACCTTGTCATAGATAGCCCTCCTTGACACTGCCCTCAAGGGACACTCCATCTTGCTTGACATCTCAGGAGCAATCACCTGGATGGCCACTCCCTGTTGCTGGACGACTTCCCCCCAATCCTGGTTTCCTCCTAGCCCCTAACCACCCACTCTCTGACTCCTCCTTTACAGACTCCTACACGGCAGGGCCCCCATGGCCCAGTCCTGGGTCCTTGTCTCTATGTACATTCACTCTCTAGGTCAGGGGTCCTTAATGAAGAAGCCACAGGCTCCATGAACTTGAGTGAGAAAAAAAGATCACATTTTTTGTCCACTAATCTGCAATTAAAATTTGGCATTTCCTTCAATTATGAGCCTAGGTCACAAACCACAGCCATACTAGCAGGTCCTGAGAGTCATTACCAATAGAAATCCCAAATATTTTCATATCACAACACACTCTTACGGTATCTTAAAACATTGTTTTTACTCACCGGGACTTTGGAATTATAGACATCACACCCACCACTGGATAATGCTATGCCTGATCACAGATTTTATTTTTCATATTTTGCTTATGATTTCCATATTACTGAGTGTTCTTATGCTTTGATTTTATGCATTTCTGAGAAAGGATTATTAAGCTTCACCAGGACCAGATGCCAAGAGGTCTGAGGATCCAAATGCATCAGGGCCCTGCCCCAGGGGCTGAGATCGGTCTTTGGACTTCCACATCCCTCTGTGCTAATGGAGCCATCACCATCTCCCACCCAGACTTCTCCCCTGCATGTCCCCAACTCGCCATCTCTGCATGGTTTCCAATGAGCATCTCAAGCCCAGTGTGAAACTCTTCATTCCTCAGCTCCCATCGCCCCTGTCCCTGTAACTCCCACCCCATGCTTCGAAATCTTTCCCATCTCAGGAAATGGCTCCACCCAGTTCTGAAGCCCCAAACCCAGACCTCAATCTTAACTTCTCTTTTTCTTAGCGGCCACACTCAACCCACTAGTAAGTACTGCCCACTGTGATCCCAATTTGGATTTCAAATCTGTTTACTCGCCTTATTCTGGGCCAGGCTGCCCTCCTCTCCATGGGTCTGCCTTTTGTGCCTTCCTGTCTTTAACCCCTCTGTCAGCTCCCAGGAGATTCTTTTTTTTTTTTGCAGTTGCAAGATTTAATAGCATGAAATAGAGTGAAAACAGAGCTCCCATACAAAGGGAGGGGACCCAAAGGGGGTTGCTGTTGCTGGCTCGAATGCCTGGGTTTATATGCCAATCCTTGTCTCTCCCACTGTGCTCTCAGGCAATAGATGATTGGCTATTTCTTTACCTCCCATTTTTGCCTAATTAGCATTTTAGTGAGCTCTCTGATTGGTTGGGTGTGAGCTAAGTTGCAAGCCCCGTGTTTAAAGGTGGATGCGGTCACCTTCCCAGCTAGGCTTAGGGATTCTAAGTTGGCCTAGGAAATCCAGCTAGCCCTGTCTCTCAGTCCCCCTCTCAACAGGAAAACCCAAGTGCTGTTGGGGAGGTCAGCTGATGACCGCACTAACTGCTTCCTGCTGAATTAGGGAGTAGTAGGGGTGGTGCAGTTGAGATTTCCTCGGGAGGGGTGCCTTCGATGTCATTAACATCAGAGCATGGGCTAGCAGGCTGGTCCGGGGGTCCGTGGTAAATCTTAGTCATGGACTGCATGTGAGCTCCCAGGAGATTCTAATGTGTGGCTGGCTGGGCCCACCAGCATGGATGAGGACAAATATAGCTGTATCGAGTTTGGTCTCAGACTTTTTCATGCATCATTGACCTCCTAGAACCTAAATTAAAAAGCAGACATCCAGGTACTGAGCACCTGCTCCAAGTAGTCAAACAGCATATTCATGCCTGAGGTGAGACTTTCCCAGGCATCTTCCCCAAGCTTCTCATTTGCCTGAACATAGACAAACTGAGGCCCAGAAGTCTTGCCCAAGGTCACCATCTGGCAGGCTAGGCTCTAAGACTCCTTGCCTGAGGGCTGCAGAGCTGAGCTGGTGATTCAGGGCAGCTCAGGGTCCCCTCAAGTGACTGGAGCTCCCCAAGCACCTCACTGGTCCCCCACTTGTCCTGTGGTTGCAAGTGGCTGGGCAGGGCAAAGGTTACCCACAGCTGGATCCCATCACCCAGTTTGCCACACCCGCCCACCAGCACAGGCCCTGGGATGGATAATCTGGGCCAGATGGGCTCAGTTAGGCTGGGCTGGGCTCTGGAGACTAATATTGGCCTGGGTGGTGGGAGCTAGGTCTGGCCCATGGCTGAGGCACCAGCTGGAAGGGCAGGGAATGGATCCCAGTGGAGGAACTCACCCAGCGTGGGATCTACTTCTCTTGTTTTTTTGGATCTACTTCTCTCTATGCCGTGCACCGACTCCAGGATTAGACCTGCCCCTTCTCCATCACTCTCAGGCTGCCGAATTCTCAGGCCTATGATGGGGTACAAAGGCCTGACCTTTTGTCACCCTTCCAGCTGGCAAAGAGACTGAGTTTTGGTCCCTGGTCTACTGCCCCATCCCCTTGGCCCTGGGTTTGAGTTCTGGCTCTGCCACACTTTCATTGTGGGCCCTTGGAGACTACTGTGTTTCTCTGAGCCCCACTTTACAGATCTGGGTCATGGGTCAGCACACCCTGCTCCTTGCTGGGGAGAGGGCATTTGCAAAGGGTCTTGAAGGAAAAGAAAGAAATTTTCACAGGCAGGGGCTGGGGGAGAGGGGGTGATTCAGACAAATAACAGGTGCAGATCCGTGGATGAGCAGCCTCCGTGGCCGAGGAGATCTGCTCAAGCCTGCTTCTCTCCTGCATTATTTATATAAAATGGACATCAATTGGTGAATGGAGAAACTGCAGTCCATCCATGCAGTGGACTCCATTGAGCAATAAAAAGGAAAGAACCATTGATGTGTGCAAACACACAGATGAACCTCAGATGGATCATGAGTGAAAAATATGCAACTCCAATGGTTCCATACTGTAGGAGTCTATTTGTATGACTCTCTAAAAATGTCAGAATCTGTGATTGCCAGGGCCTGGGTCCGGGGAGGGGGTGGGGATTGATTGTTAAAGGACACAGGGGAGCTTTTTGGGATATTGGCAATGTTCTATGTCATGATTTTGCTGGTGGTTACATAACTGTATATGTCTGTCAAAACTCATGGAACTATATGTGAAAAGGGTAGATTTTGCTGTACGTGGGTCATACCTCAGTAAAAAACAACGCCCCCAACACAAGGTTCTATAAAATGCCGCAGATATACATATGTAACATTAAATAGATCTCCTCCAGTGAACCCCCTCACCCTCTCTGAGTTTCATTCATGTGTTCATTCAGGAATTATTTCTTGAGCACCTACTATGTGCTCATCCTGTATTAGGTATTAGATAATCAGAAATGAGCAAAATTCGTAAAGTTTCTGATTCCAGGGCACTTCTACTAAATATATCAGTTGCATTGAAATCTTGATGAATGCTATGAAGAAAATAAGACAGGGTAATATGTGGGGTTGGAGGCAAGTTTAGCCAGTATGATGGAGAAAGCCCCACCAGAGAGGGCCATCTGGGCTGAGAGGCTGAGAAGAAGCAAGGTCTGGGAGAGTCAGGAGGGAGGGAATTCCAGGCAGAGGAAAAGGCAAGTGCAGAGGCCTTGAAGTGGGAGCGTGTCTGGTATTTGAGGATCAAAATGAAGATGGTAACAATGATATGCCCTGCAGCTATCTCTCTTCCATGGAAAATGGTGCATGAGGTTCCTGTTTGGGAAATGCATCTTGTCAACTGCAGATAAAAATCAATGCAGAGAGAGTAGTGCTTTGTATGGATGAAGCTGTGTGTGAATCACAGCTCTTAGCTTACTGGCTGTGTGACCTTAGGCTGGGGCCTCTACTGGTGTCTGAGCCTTTTCTCTAAAATGAAGATAATCATAGCTCCTTCCCCTGGGTTGTAGGGAGCATTCCTGAGATAACTCTGGTTGTAGTTACATAATGAACGCATGATAAATTCTGGTATGTCTGGGCCATATCTTACTATGTGTCAGGACTCTGAGCCCAAGCCTGCGCGTATACATCCAGATGGCCTGATGCAACTGGAGAACCACAAAAGAAGTGAAAATGGCTGGTTCCTGCCTTAACGGATGACATTACCTTGTGACATTCCTTCTCCTGGACAATAAGTCTCCGTAGCTCCCCACCAAGCACCTTGTGACCCCTGCCCCTGCCCGCCAGAGAACAACCCCCTTTAACTGTAATTTTCCACTACCTACCCAAATCCTATAAAACTGCCCACCCCATCTCCTTTTTCAGACTCAGTCCACCTGCACCCAGGTGATTAAAAAGCTTTATTGCTCACACAAAGCCTGTTTGGTTCACATGGACGTGCATGATATTTGGTGCTGAAGACCCGGGACAGGAGGACTCCTTCAGGAGACCGGTCCCCTGTCCTTGCCCTCATTCCATGAGGAGATCCACCTATGACCTCCGATCCTCAGATCAAACAGCCCAAGGAACATCTCACCAATTTCAAATTGAGTAAACGGTCTTTTCACTCTCTTCTTCAGCCTCTCTCACTACCCTTCAATCTCCCTGTCCTTCCAATTCGGGTTCCTTTTTCTCTCTAGTAGAGACAAAGGAGACACATTTTATCCATGGACCCAAAACTGCAGCACCGGTCATGGACTCAGGAAGACAGTCTTCCCTTGGTGTTTAATCACTGCAGGGATGCCTGCCCTGATCATTCACCCACATTCCATTGGTGTCTGATCACCGGGGGGACACCTGCCTTGGTCATTCACCCACATTCCCTTGGTGGCATGTCAATTGCAGGGACACCTGCTTTGGCTGCTCACCCATATTACAGCCCAGGGCTGCTCACCGCCCGCTTCTCCGTGTCTCTAGCTTTCTCTTTAAACTTACCTCTTCACTGTGGTCAACCTTCCACCCTGCATTCCCCCTTCTTCTCCCTTAGCCTGTGTTCTCAAGAACTTAAAACCTCTTCAACTCACACCTGAACTAAAACCTAAATGCCTTATTTTCTTCTGCAATACTGCTAGGCCCCAGTACAAACTCGACAATTGTTCTAAATGGCCAGAAAACAGCACTTTTGATTTCTCCATCTTACAAGACCTGGATGATTTTTTGTCAAAAAATGGGCAAATGGTCTGAGGTGCCTGATGTCCAGGCATTCTTTCACACATTGGTCCCTCCCTAGTCTCTGCTCCCAAAGCGACTCATCCCAAATCTTTTTTTTTCTCTCCTGTCTGTTTCCTTCCATCTCCACCCCAAGCTCTGAGTCCTTTGAATCCTTCTTTTCTACGGACTCATCTGACCTCTCCCCTCCTCCCTGACGCTGCTCCTCGCCAGGCTGAGCCAGGTCCCAATTCTTCCTCAGCATCTGCTCCCCTACCCTATAATCCTTCTATCACCTCCCCTGCTCACACCCAGTCTGGCTTACAGTTTCGTTCTGCAACTAGCCCTCCTCACCTGCCCAAAAATTTCCTCTTAAAAAGGTGGCTTGAGCTGAAGGCACAGTCAAGGTTAATGCTCCTTTTTCTTTATCTGACCTCTCCCAGATCAGTTAGCATTTAGGCTCTTTTTCATCAAATATAAAAACCCAGCCCCGTTCATGGCCCACTTAGCAGCTACCATTAGATGCTTCACAGCCCTAGACCCAGAGGGGCCAGAAGGCCACCTTATCCTTAATATGTATTTTATTACCCAATCTGCTCCCAACATTAGAAAAAGCTCCAAAAATGAGATTCCGGCCCTCAAACCCCACAACAGGACTTAATGAACCTTGCCTTCAAGGTGTACAATAATAGAGAAGAGGCAGCCAAGTGGCAACATATTTCTGAGTTGCAATTACTCGCCTCTGCTGTAAGAGAAACCCCAGCCACATCCAGCACACAAGAACTTCAAAACGCCTAAGCCGCAGCAGACAGTTGTTCCTCCAGGACCTCCTCCCACAGGATCTTGCTTCAAGTGCTGGAAATCTGGCCACTGGGCCAAGAAATGTCCACAGCCTGGGATTCCTCCTAAGCCGTGTCCCATCTTTGCGGGACCCCACTGGAAATCCAACTGTCCCACTCGCCCACCAACCACACCCAGAGCCCCTGGAAATCTGGCCCAAGGCTGTCTGACTGACTCCTTCCCAGATCTTCTCTTCTTAGCTGCTGAAGACTGACACTGCCTGATTGCCTCAGAAGCCTCCTGGACCATCACAGATGCTTTAGGTAACTCTTACAGTGGAGGGTAAGTCTGTCCCCTTTTTAATCAATACAGAGGCTACCCACTCCACATTACCTACTTTTCAAGGGCCTGTTTCCCTTGCCTCCATAACTGTTGCGGGTATTGACGGCCAGGCTGCTAGACTCCTTAAAACTCCCCAGCTTTGGTGCCAACTGGGACAAAATTTTTTTTTTTTTTGAGATGGAGTCTCTCTCTATTGCCCAGGCTGGAGTGCAGTGGCGCGATCTCGGCTCACTGCAAGCTCCATCTCCCAGGTTCATGCCATTCTCCTGCCTCAGCCTCCCGAGTAGCTGGGACTACAGGTGCCTGCCACCACGCCTAGCTAATTTTTTTGTATTTTTTTTTTAGTAGAGACGGGGTTTCACCGTGTTAGCCAGGATATTCTCGATTTCCTGACCTCGTGATTTGCCCGCCTCGGCCTCCCAAAGTGCTGGGATTACAGGCATGAACCACCGCCCCCGGCCTGGGACAACATTCTTTTATGCACTCTTTTTTAATTATCCCCACCTGCCCAGTACCCTTATTAGGCCAAGACATTTTAACCCGGACAAGTCTTACAGGCTGGTCCAAGATCTTCGCCTTATCAACCAAATTGTCTTGCCTATCCACCCTGTGGTGCCAAACCCATATACTCTCCTATCCTCAATACGCCCCTCCACAACCCATTAATCTGTTCTGGATCTCAAAGATGCTTTCTTTACTATTCCTTTGCATCCTTCATCCCAGCCTCTCTTCGGTTTCACTTGGACTGACCCTGACACCCATCAGCCTCAGCAACTTACCTGGGCTGTACTGCCACAAGGCTTCAGGGACAGCCCCTATTACTTCAGTCAAGCCCTTTCTCATGATTTACTTTCTTTCCATCACTCCCACCTACTCTCCCACTGAAACTTCCACCTATCAATCTCTTCCCACACAAGGCAAATGGTTCTTGGACTAAGGAAAATTCCTCCTTCCAGCCTCACAGGCCCATTCCATTCTATCGTCCTTTCATAACCTCTTCTATGTGGGTTACAAGCCACCAGCCCACCTCTTAAAACCTCTCATTTCCTTTAAGACATTTACCTTGTATTTCACTCCATCCTTGGCTACCTTCCCCTTGCTCTTCAGACTCTCCTCCCAGGCCCTCTTCTTGTTTGCTTATACCCAGCCCTGTAAATAACAGTGAATGGTTGCTTGTAGATACTCGACGTTTTTTCATGCACCATGAAAATTGAACCTCCTCCTCTAGGAAGTTACCCCATCAGTCTCCATTACAACCTCTGACGGCTGCCACCCTAGCTGGATCCCTAGGAGTCTGGGTACAAGAAACCTTTAGTACTCCTTCTCATCTTTTTACTTTGCATTTCCAGTTTTGCCTCGCACAAGGTCTCTTCTTCCTCTGTGGATCCTCTACCTACATGTGTCTACCTGCTAATTGGACAGGCACATGCACACAAGTTTTCCTTACTCCCAAAATTCAATTTGCAAATGAGACCGAAGAGTTCCCTGTTCCCCTCATGACACCAACAGTTCACTACTATTTTGTTTTGTTTTTCTTATTATTAATATAAAAAGACAGGAATAGGCCTTGACTTACTCACTGCTGAAAAAGGAGGACTCTGAATATTTCCAAATGAAGAAGGTTGTTTTCACCTAAATCAATCTGGCCTGGTATATGACAACATAAAAAAACTCAAGGACAGAGCCCAAAAACTTGCCAGTCAAGCAAATAATTACACTGAACCCCCTTGGACACTCTCTAATTGGATGTCCTAGGTCCTCTCAATTCTTGGTCCTTTAATACCTGTTTTTCTCCTTCTCTTATTCGGACCTTGTGACTTCCATTTAGTTTCTCAATTCACACAAAACTGCATCCAGGCCATCACCAATCATTCTATACGACAAATGCTCCTTCTAACAACCCCACAATGTCACCCTTTACCCCAAAATCTTTCTTCAGTTTACTCTCTCCCACTCTAGGTTCCGACATTGCTCCTAATCCTGCTCGAAGAAGCCCTGAGAAACATCACCCATTATCTCTCCATACCACCTCCAAAAATTTTCGCCACCCCAACACTTCACCTCTATTTTGTTTTGTCCCAACACTTCACCACTATTTTGTTTTGTTTTTCTTATTAATATAAGAAGACAGGAATGTCAGGCCTCTGAGCCCAAGCCTGCACGTGTACATCCAGATGGCCTGATGCAACTGGAGAACCACAAAAGAAGTGAAAATGGCTGGTTCCTGCCTTAACTGATGACATTACCTTGTGACATTCCTTCTCCTGGACAATGAGTCTCAGAAGCTCCCCCACTGAGCACCTTGTGACCCCTGCCCCTGCCCACAAGAGAACAACCCCCTTTAACGTAATTTTCCATTACCTACCCAAATCCTATAAAACTGCCCCACCCCATCTCCCTTTGCTGACTCCTTTTTCGGACTCAGTCCACCTGCACTCAGGTGATTAAAAAGCTTTATTGCTCACACAAAGCCTGTTTGGTGGTCTCTTCACACGGACGCACGTGACACTATGTAGCTGTTAAAAACAATGAGGTTGATGGCTGGGCATGGTGGCTCACACCTGTAATCCCATGACTTTGGGAGGCCAAGGTGGGTGGATCGCTTAAGCTCAGGATTTGGAGACCAGCCTGGGTAACATGGTGAAACCTTGTGTCTACTAAAATCAGAACAAAATTAGCTGAAGGTGGTGGTGCATGCCTCTAGTCTCAGCTACTTGCGGGGCTGAGGCAGGAGGATGGCTTTAGCCTAGGAGGTGGTTGCAGTGAGCTCTGATCATGCCACTGCTCTCCAGCCTGGGCGACAGAGCAAAACCCTATCTTAAAACAAAACAAACAAACAAGCAAGAATGAGGTTGAGCTACATCAGATGCTGATCTGAAAAGATGTCCCTGTCATGCTTATGAGTAAAAAAAGAAACCAAGAGGCAGAACACTATATACAATGTGGATCCATTTGTGTGTAAGAATGATCCAAATGATGTATTTTTATACAAAAACCGAGAAGATCAAACTATTAACAGTAGCGATTTGCTTCAGGGGAGGGGGTTTCAATAGGGTGATGGTGATGGCGTTTTCTTTTTACATTACCTATATTGAAATTGTTTGGATTTTAAAAGTAGAATGAGAGTGTATACAGGTATAATTAATAGAATATTTAACAACTAGTATATAAACACTAGGAGTCCCTAACTGATGTCCTGGACCCCCAGGGATCTGTGAATAGAATTCAAGGAACCTGTAAACTTGCATTAAAAAAAAAAGGACATGCTTTTCCCACTAGTCTCTAACTGATATTAACTTTTCCTGTGGTAGTGAGTATATGCCACAGGCTATTACAGTGGTGATAGCAGGGCCTGCAGCTTTGTCACTAGTAGAAACCGCAGATACTCTAATATCTCATTGCAGTGATTGCGGATATCTACGACACATTGTGTATACTCACCTCAGCCTCAAAATTATGGAAGGTACTTGACCCACCACTCAGTCTTGTTATTTTGTGCATTAATACAGAAATAATATAGGACTATATCAGAAACCTGTTTTCTGTTATGTTGACATTTGCATCTCAAGGCAATTTGTTTCCTTTATAAATCTATGCATTTAATTTTACATTTCAAAAAAAAATTTTTTTTTCTGAGAGAGGGTCACCGGATGCCAAAGGACCCCAAGGTACAGGAAAGGTTAAGACCCCTGAAGGCCTGTCCCACACAAGGTTCCTCACTGGTGTCCCCAGTAGGCTACCAACTCTGAGAGTGCAAGGACTTTGCCTGCCTTCTGGGGCCTGGAAGACTGTCTGGATATTTGTAGGCTCTGCTGTTGACCCCAATTATAGATGGGCAAATGGAGGTTCAGGCTCAGAGTCACTTCCCTGAGGTCACCCATCAAGTTGCAGATGCTAGATTCCTCCTCATGTCTACTGATTTGGAAGGCTGGGAGGTCAGGTCTTGTGGGTGTAAGAGGGTCAAGGCGGGGGCTGGGCGGGTGAAAGTGGTGCTTCCCTCACCCAGGGTACGACCCAGGCTTTAGCCTTGCAGCCAGTGAGCCCAGAGGATGGGGTGAACCCTGCTGCTGGCTTCTGCCTGTTGACCCAGTTCCTGGGTCTCTGCCCAGACTTGTTCCAGAACCAGACCCAAAGCACCAAGGTTTCTGTGAATGGGGGTGGCATTAAGGAAACTTACCCTTCTAGTTGTTCAGACCCAGCCTCTCAGAGCTGCCCTGCTTTCCTTTGTCTCTCTCACATCCTGCATCCAATCTGTTGTCTCTACCCTCGGGCGCATGCAGAATCTGACCACTTCTGCCCAACCTTGCCACTTCCACCCCAGTCCCAGCCCCCATTGTCTCTAGCAGGGATCAAAGCTTCCTTGATACTGTCAGCATCTGTCATTGCTCCCTGGGCCCCCAGGCTATGCTCCACACATAGCCAGTGACGTCCTGGTCAACCTGTCAGATTATGACCCCCTCTGCTCTAAACCCTGCCTTGGGTCCCGTGTGGCTTAGAGAGGACCAGGACTCCTTGCAGATTCCTTTAGTGAAGAACAAAATTCTTTGCTTTGGAAACAGGTAAAACAGTCCCCAGTGAACAGAGTCCAAACCAGGCTGTACTGGGATGGTGTGGGAATTGGGATGAAGCCTGTTCTAGGTCCTAGGCTGAACCAAAGCCCCATGGCTGGGGTGGTGCAGGGTGTGGAGATTTGAGCCCGGCCTGACGGTAAAAGGAAACGGGCTTTAGCAGGGATGCCCCAGGGGTAGGAGCCCAGGCAGGGAGACATCTGGGGAGCAAAGACTTAGTGAGGGGGAGACCTAAATGATGCTCTCAGGGACCTCTCAGCTCCCATCCCCTCCATTTCACAGATGGGAAAACTGAGGTCCCAATCAGGAAAATAAAGTGCCAGAGGCTGTACACAGGAGCTAATGGCCAGATCTGGTGCAGACGTATGAAAATCTGGAGGGTCAGATCTTACCTAGCTGTGTGTGTGTGTTTCAACTTAAATGTAAATCTTTGTAATTTTATTTTTCGAATGGGTGATATAAACACATTGTTCAAAATTCCAAGGAACAAAAAGGAGTGAAGTGAAAAACAAATTTTTCTGTCCCTGCCTCAACCCACAGTTCCCTCCCTACAGGCCACTGAGGGAGGTTCCTGGGTTTCCTTCCAGAGAAACGCTATGCATACTTCTACATCTGCAGTAACTGTGTTTCCATCCCACCACCTGCCCTTCAGGCTACAAAAACCTCAGCTTGCCATTCCACACCTGGCTTCCTTTTGCTTAACATTGTTCATAGCATGTTCCACATTCATCCAGGTAGACTTGCCTCAGCATTGTAAGCTGCTTGAAATTCCATCTATGGGCCTCCATTGTTTGCTCATCTAGTCCCCTCTAGCTGGGCCTGTAGGATGTTTCCAGGCTTTAACATCAAAAACAGGGCTGCTACAAATATCCTTGTACACCTGTCACTTAACATTCCCACAAGTCTATGTGGGGAATAAATCCTCTGAAGTAGAATTGCTTCAAAGTAGAGTGAAATCACACGTTTTTTTGGTCCTTTGTTTTTTGAGGCAGAGTCTTGCTTTATCACCCAGGCTGGAGTGCAATGGTGTGATCATGGCTCACTGCAGCCTTGAATTCCCAGGCTCAAGCGATCTTCCCACCTCAGCCTCCCAAGTATCTGGGACTATAGGCATGTGCCACCAGGCCCAGCCAATTTTTCAGTATTTTTTTGTAGAGACCAGGGTCTTGCTTTGTTGCCTCAGGCTGGTCTCAAACTCCTGAGCTCGAGTGATCCTCCCACCTCACCTCAGCCTCCCAAAACAGTTGTGATTTTGACTATCGTTAACAAACTGCCCTTGGCAGAGGTTATGCCTAGTGGTTTCTGCCCCTTTGGAGGAGAGGCCCTAGGGTCTGCAGAGGTGGCCACAGGAGCCACAGAGTTGCTTATTGCACCCCCTCCCAATACGCATCCACACCTCCCAATCTCAGTAGCACCAAAGCATCTCCCACCAGCTTCCTTCTGACTTCTAGGTCTCCCTGAAAATGTCACCTCCTCTGAGAAGCATTCCCTGACCACCCCCACTCTACTCCACCTGTTTATCACAGTGTGCACTCTGGCTTCTACACAGTACTTCATGCCATCTGAAATCACTTTAGTCATTTGTCATTTGTCCAATTCCCCCACGAGAAGAGCCCCAGGAGTGCAGAGGTTTGTCTGCCCTGTTCATGAGCACATCCTCTATGCCTAGAATAGGGCTAGGCATATGAGAGGTCCTCGATAAATATTTGTGGAAAGAGCAGATGGGTCAGTTTTGTGTAAGGGGCACGAGATTTCCACTGAATAGTTGTTTGGCAGCTAGAAGCAAGTTAGGAGCCTCGAGCCCAGGCCCAGCCACTGCTGGAGCCTGTGAGAGGCAAAGGCAGTGGAGACCACAGAGACCAGAGAACAGAGAGCTAACTGGTGCCAGGGCAGAAAGAAAGGGGAAGAAACACCAGCACAGAGATGGGAGGGGCAGGAAGGAGGGTTCCCAGGAGGGAGGCCCATGGCAAGGGAGGGAGTCAGCTTGGGGTATCTGCAGGAGGAATGTTCTAGAAATGAACAAGACATAGTCTTGGTGCTCATTTCCTTCCTCCAACCAACTCATTCAGATGTGCCGAGACCTGGGCATGGTGCTGGGGATAGAGCAGCTACCAGAACAGGCCAGGCTCTGCACTGCTGCTGCGGTCTCCCAAGGAAGATATCTAAAGGGCTACTCTGTCCCAGGCATGACCCCAAGGCCCTACAAATACAGCTCATTTAGTCCTTGGTGCTCCCATTGTCACCATTTTACAGATGAGGAAAGGAAGGCATTGAGAAGATGAGCATCTTGCCTAAGTGGCAAAGACTGGATTTAAATATAGGCCTTTGGTCTCCAGAGACCACACCCTTAGCCACTCGGTGGGCTGCTTGTGGCAGCTAGCCTTCAGGATGACCCCAGGGATCCTGGTGCTCATGCCCTTGTGTAGTCCCCTCTCTCAACAAGTCAGGACTGGCTGGCATGACTAATTAGATATTGTAGAAACGTTAGTGTGACTTCCTTGGCTAAACCATTGCATTGTGTCTTCTGTCTTGCCCTCTCTTGGACCACACGCTTTAGAGGAAGTAGGCCACTATGGCCTGAGGACCCTTAAGCAGCCCTTGGGAGGAAGCCATCTGGAGGGGAACTGAGGCCTTCTACTCACAGCCAGCGCCAGCTCACCAGCCACAGGAGGCCGAGCCCCAGCCCAGGTCAAGCCTTCAGATGAGTGCAGCCCTAGCTGATACCTGAGTGCAACCACATGAAAAAAACCCCAAGTCGGAACTACCTTGTTAAGTTGCTTCAGAATTCCTGACCCTCAGAAACTATGAAAGATAAGAAATGTTTGTTGTTATTTTAAGCTGCTAAATGTTTTAGGGTAATTTGTTATGCCACAATAGATAACTAATATACTGCTTTTCCAGAGCTTATAGAGGTTTAACCCTCTTGCTTCTCTTCTCTGCCATCCCCAGGCCTCAGTTTCCTCATTTTGACAATGGGCTGACTTGTGATTTATGAGGGTTGGCCCCTCCTCCTCTGCCTTGCTTCTGTCCCCTGGGCCTGCACCAGGCCCTCACCCTGTGGCTCAATGCAGACTGAAATGGTTTGTCTTGTCCTGTCTGAGCAGCTGGGCCCAAGCCTTCCTCATTGTTTTCCTCTCTGCAAGACATACTATTGCTTTTCTTCTGGGTCAGGCTCTGGGCAAGCACAGCCAGTGGGCTGAGAGCCAGGGGTAGAGAGACTTGGGGACCAACGGGCTCTCACGGAGGGATGAGCTTCTCAACCCTAGCTCAACCCTCAATTCTTTGACACAGGCCCAGCGTCTCCAAACATCCAGTGTGGTCTGGGCCTGGAGCACTGCACTGAGAGTCAGCAAGCTTGCTCAATAGCTTTGCCATTTCCTTTCTCTGCCAGTGATGAGTTTCTCTGAACCTCAGTGGCCTCATTGTTTCCTCCTTGCAGAGCGCCTGGAAGGAATAGGGAAATGGCCACTGGGACCTGTGTTCTGTGGATCTGGGCTAGGATTCTTGTCTGTCTGGTTCATGAGGCCTAGCACAGTGCCTGGCACACAGTAGTGCCTCCCATATTTGTGGAATATTTGGGACTTCCCTGGCTCCTGAGCCTCACCTTTCATGGGGTGGCAGGTCCAGTGTTCATCCCAGGTGAAAGGCCACAAGGAGAAGATGAGGAGTGTGGCGGAAAGGGCTGCAGAGGGAGGGGAGCAGGGCCTGCCTCTGCCATCTGGACTTGGGAGGGGCTGCCAGGGTCCCTGCCTCCTCAGGCTCAGGTATGCCTTTGGTGGTCGTCTATATTTCAACCTTGATCTTGGGAGGTGTTTGCGATCGCTCACCTCCCTGACACTTGAAAGTCACAGAATGGAGAGGTGTGTCCATTTTGCTTGGCAACATGCTTATTGAACAGTTATTATGTGGTCAGCACTGTTCTAACCACTAGGTATATGAAGTCCTTGCAGCCACCCTCCAAGGTAGGACCTGTTATCGACCTATTTTACAGACGAGGCACAGAGAGGTTAAACAACTTGTCCAAGGACAGGTAGCTCTTCACAGGTGTAACCAGGCGGTGCTTCTGCAAGGCCTCTTGGCTAGAGTGATCATGTGACAGCGCCCCTGCCCACCCCCCAACCTCACCTCAACTTTGGGAAAATAGGGCAAAGTATGTTCTAGACACAGGGAGGCTTTGCTGGGGTATCTCCCCACGTGGCACCAGGCCTTTCTGCCTGTACGACTCCAGTGTGTACCTCTTCTCTTATTGGATCCCCAGCAGCCTGGAGGAAAAGGGTGATTGTTCCCCACACAAATGAGTAAACTAAGGCCCACAAAGGCCGAGCATTACTCACAGCTGGTAAAGGAAGATTTTTAACTTAATGGCTGAGCTCTTTCTATGTGCCTGTCTTGCCTTCTTGGTGGCTGAGGCTGATCCTGCAGATGGGGTGACAGGGATAAGATTAGGGTCAGACAAAGATGGTGGAAGCTGGCTCAGAGGTCCACAGTCTATCAGAGAATGATCCTCAGTGAGGACAGGACAGAAAAGTGGCCACATCTCTTCCCAGTCTCCATGGTCCTCCACGGAGAACAGGGTCAGGACCAGGGACATCTGTCTGGCTCCTGGTGAGCACTCCAGTCTCATCTTGGCCATGCTCTCCTCGCTCTCTGCACTGTAGACACACTGAATGCCTTTTGCTTTTGGCCCATTCTACCCCCAGGGCCTTTGCACTTGCTGTCCCGTGTGCCTGGAATGCTTTTGCTTCCTTTCCCTGTCTCGCCACTGCCAACCCAGCCTTTAGATCTCAGCTCTGTCCTTCTTCCTAGTGCCTCCCTCCCTCAAGGTCAGGCACCCATTATCCACCCCTAGCATCTCTCGGTCCCTCCTTCATGGCACATATCATGATTGATCGTTGCACATGGGAAATCACTAGGTTAGTTACACCCACTGCTCCAGGGGCAAGGGGGAAGGATGGTCTTCCTTGCTCACTACTAAATCCTTGTCACTTGCATGGCGCCTGGCGCATTGTAAGCCCTCAATAAACAGTGGTGGAAGGGACAATTAAATGAATGCAGGAATGAATATTCTTACCTGACAAACTAAGTTCAGAGTTGTGTATACACATTTGTGTTTGTGTGTGGTGGGGGGCAGGAGTCGGGGGTTGCACATCTACACATAGTCCCAGAATTGAAAGGATGCATGATTTTTTCATGACATTTATGGCATGCTATGTATCTTGTTGCCTCTGGAGAGGAGAAACAGGGGTCTCAGCTGGGTGTCAGGAACCCTGGGTTCTGGGCCAACTCCTGCCACCGACCCTTGGGTGAATGTGATTGAGTCACTCCCTTGCCCAGGCTTAGTGTTCCCATCTGTAAATGGTGGGCACAGAGAGGTGGTCTGTGTAGTGGTTAAGACTGTGGGTTCTGGAGCCAGTCTGCCCGGGTACGAACTCACCTCCCTCACTTCTTAGCTGTGTAAACTCCCTGGGCCTCCGTTTCCCCGCAATAAATGGGGATCATAACAGTCCCCACCTTTTAGGATGCCACGAGGTTTATGAGTCAATGTTTATAAGACACATATAAAGTGCCTGGCCCAGAGAAAGTCCCATATGTGAATTCACCCCAGCAAAGCACTTATCCCAGAAGACAGAGGAAACAATAGTAGCATCTCCTGGTTCTCTGTGCTGGAGCAGTGCCAGGCACATCCCCTGACCAGCCATTTGAGCCTCACAGCAAACCCAGGCGATGTGTGTATCATCACCTCAATTTTATAGATTGAAAAACTGAAGCTCAGGTCTTTCTCATAGTTACACAGCTAATAATCTCACAGATGTAAAGTTGAGGGAACAAAAGGAAACTATAGTAAGATATGGATGGTACGACAGGATTCCTTCCTTGCACCGTGAATCCTGGAGTCTTGACGTTTACTGAGCACTTACTCTCTGCCAGGCCCTGTACTGAGCCCCACATGTGCATTGCCTCATTTAATCTCCTCAATAACCTGCAAAGTAGCTTCTGTTAGTGTCCTCACTTCACAGATAAGGAAACCGAGTCACAGAGTGGAAAAGCAATGGTCTGAGAAGGCACAGCCAGTAAGCAGTGGAGCTGGGATTCAGACTGAGTCAACTGGGACTCAGGGCCTACACTCGGCTTCTGTGGGATTTGCCCCCAGGCCCTGGGCCAAGAATGGGGTGTGTAATTGTGGGGACACCCAGACTGAGCTTCTGGAGCCCCTTAGCTTTTCAGAACGGCCACAGCTGCCTGAGGCCCTACCTGAATCATCCCTGGCAGAAAAGCCCTAGGGAGCCTTGGGCCAAGGGTTCCTGGGGGAAGAAAAATCTAGTAGCTATGGATCTCCCCTTTGGGGACCAGGGTCCTCTATATTTTCCAGGTCCCAGCTAATGCCCAGGGACCCATCCACCATGGACATGGCTTATTTATTGGACAGAAAACTGGCTTAAGTTCTGAGATAATAGGTTCCGGCATCAGATGGCTGAATCTGACTTTGCCCTTCTTGGCTGTAAGATCTTGGGCAAGTCACCTAATCTCTTGGTGCCTCAGTTTCCTCATCTGTTAGTGGACAAGCAATCTTACTTCACTGGGTCATGGTGAGAATTAAATGCCGTAACATAAAGCACCTAGGACAGTGTGTGGCATACAGTAAATGCTCACTAAATGAGTGCTTACTCATTACGTCATAACTGCTTTTTCATCCTCCACTCATTCTGGGAGGCACGAGTATTTTGAGTTCCACTTTAGAGAGGAGCCAATTGATATATGTGGCTTCCCCGGGTTCCCATAGCTTTGAGTGGTACCCCTGGGACTTGACCTCCTGACCCCAACTTGGTCCTCCCCAGACCCCACAGCCAACTCTCAGGGTTCATTCCTGACATTTCAGAGCTGGCTCTGAGGTTATGCAAACAAACTGCGGCCAGAGTCTGACTGGAGGTGCAGGCTTAGGGGGCAGACCTGGGGCCCGTTTTCTAACATTTCCTGCCCAAGGAGAAGGAGAAGAAGGTCTGTGTACATCCCAGCCTGGCTGAGCTCTAAGGCCAGGGAGGAGAGAACTAGAAACATGTGGCCCTGCCCTCTGTGGGATGGCTGGCCAAGCCAGTTGAACAAATAAACCCGTCCTTTTGGGGGAAGTCGTCAGGGGGTCTGCTGCTGCTGGTGCCTGCCCTGCACCCCCACCTCATCCCAGGCATGAGCCAGCTGGTCATCCCCAGGCCGAGGGTATCTGTGCCAGCTGTTTCCAGGCCCCCTTCTTGGAAAAATCATCCCATTCCTCTAAGAAGCAGATGCTGTTTCCCCCATCCCCCAGTCCCAAACTGCTTAGAAAGGAGCCAGCAGTGAGGTTAGGAAATCAAACCCCAAGATATTTTGTTCGGCACCGAGACTCATTTCTTGTTTGGATAACTGAAGGCTGAAAATGCCAAGAATTTGTGGGCAGCCTGGGAAGGCTGGGGCAACTGGAACCCTGACTCCCAAACCAGGTCAGTTTGGGAGGGTCTCAGGCTGGGCAAGGACCCCACCCTGGGTTCCTCCTTGGTGCTCTCTTGACCCACACCCAGTTAGGCAGGGCCTCACAACTGCCAGGCCGAGGGGCCCAGTTATTCTGAGGTTTGATGTCAGAGACCTGGAGCAAACAGCAGAGGCTGGGGCAGTGCCAGGTTGGGAGGCCCCTGCCCAGCCCCTGACCCCTCTCTGCTTGGCTTTGGGTGCAGAGGAGGAAGAGAAAGAGGCCTCGGCTGAGCAGCCAGCTGCAGGGTGGGCATTGGTCATTTGGCAGATGTGCCCTGGGTCTTCAGTGTGGACACTCGGGGAGGTAGAGGTGGGAGGGATGGCCTTGGGGTGAGAAAAGGAGGAGCTGAGAAAGAGACAGGAAAAGATGCAGGGAGTCACTTTGATAGCCAACCAGGAGAGAGAATCAGAGACAGAGACACCCACAGAGTTAGCAACAGTGAGTCAGGGCCACCGCGAGAGCCCCAGGAGAGATCCACAGAGGCAGAGAGACTCAGAAATAGAGACAGGCTGACCACAGTGGCTCGTGTCCGCCGTCCCAGCTACTTGGAAGACTGAGGCGGGAGGATCGCTTGAGCTCAGGAGTTCAAGGCTGCAGTGAGCTGTGATTGCACCATTGCACCCCAGTGTGGTTGAGAGAGTCAGACCTTGTCTTTAGGAGAGAGACAGAGAGAGGGAGAGAGGGACAGAGAGAGGGAGAGAGAGACAGAGAGAGGGAGAAAGAGACAGAGACAGACAGAGATAGACAGGGAGATAGGCAGAGAGAGGGCTGCCATGGACCCCAGGCCAGCAGCTGCTGGCTGCTCCCTAAAGGTGAGAAAGTAGTTCTCACCTGCAGTTTCCAGGTGGGGTCAGCCCTGCCTCTGGGAGCTCAGAGACTGGGGAAGATGTGCTGCCCTCAGGTGGTGGGGGTGGGCCAGAGAGGCTGGGGCTTGTGTCTGGCCCTGGTTTTCCTCATTCTCCTCATCTGTATAATGGATCATTCTGTGGGGCCATGAAGAGAAGGCAGAGTATGGCACTTCTTGGATGGGACACCTGGGGCAACTGGGGGAATGGCAGTCACACACGGGAGCCCTTATTGAGCACCTGCTGTGTGCAGAGGCTTTCTCTGCTCTGCTTCTCTTGACCCCACATCAAAGGTCAGGGGTAGGTGCTGTCATTCTCCTCCCAGCCTCCGGATTAGGCACTGAGAGGGAAGGGCCAGCACTGGGTCCTAGAGGGAGGGCATGGTGGACAGAGGAGGTCATGTGACTAGCCACTGAGCTGCCCAGCCCAGCTAGAGATGCCTGCACTGCAGCCGGCTCTGTCCCCCAACCTCCTCAATATTCCTGCCTGCAGCTTCTCATCCATATGAGCGGGGTGGAGCAGAGCCCAGAGCTGACGTGCAGCCCCAGGAGCTGGCTCCAGATGGGAGTTACTGGGGCAGGGGCTTTCCAGGAGCGAGGAGGAGGAGAGAGAGGGAGGCAGAAGGAGGGGGAGAGCAGGGAGAAGAAAGGGAAGGGGAGTGCAGGGGAGGAGGAGAGTATGAAAGAGGAGAGAGAGAGAAGAGGTGAGGCCGGGGCTCTCCCCATGCCTGATGAGCACTGGCAGTAGGACACAGCAAGCTGTATGCTAGGAAAGAGTGCGTATCTGGGGACTTGGAAACTCTGCAGTAGAAGGGAGCACCAAGAGCATCCCATCCTCTCTAGATCTTGCTTCCCTTGCCTCCTTGACACCTTCCAGAGTCAGGAAAAAGTACCTGCAGTTTGTAGTGAGAATCCAGATTGGCTTTCACTGCTACATGGCTCTGGCAAGTCACTTTCCCTCTCTGGCCTGTTTCCTCACCTGTACACTGGGGGAACAGGAGGGGAGTTGGGGGCACAGGCTGAGCAGATGATGGCTTCTGGGATTCGCGACAGGAAGGATCTCCCCTGTGTCTGTCTAGATGAACAGAATCTTGCTGAGAGCTTGTTCATCCCTAATGGCAATGGTGATGATGGTGATGATGATGCTGATGGTGCCATTAGATGAGTATTTTAAAACTCTTTTTTTAACTTTTCTGAGATGTTAGAGAAAAAGCCAAAAAAAGGCTTTGAGTTTCAGAAGATCTGAGATATGCCTGGACCAAGAGAAGAACCAGAGGAAGGTCACAGCCACAGCCACAGAAGGTAGCAAGCACTCCCCACTGGGGACCAGGAGTGTCAGAGGGGGCAGAGAGAAATTATTGTTTACATGAACCAAGGGAGACCGAAACCTGCTCATCTGTAGCCATTTGGTAAGGAAGTACCTGCAGCCAGGTCAGCTGAACTCCCATATCAGAGATCTTAGGCCCTACGGCACTCTACGGTGACCTGACTGACCCTAGCTCAGAATTTTCAGGCTAGGTGAATGGATGCCTGGAGAGGACATTCCACCCCAAGCTGAGGCACTGGACCAGGTGACCTTCTGATCCTGCAAGCCATCAGTTCAAGCCATCAGCTCTCAGCCAATGTTTCCCAAGCATCCGACACCCAGGGGATTCAAAGATGGATGAGAGTGAGAGGTGAGACTTGGGGTAGGAGGCCCAGTGGGAGGTGATGACAGCATCCTGGGAAAGATGACGAGGCCTAAGCCAGAAAGATGGACCATGAGAGAAGCCTAGGCCACAGGATGGGCTGGGCCAGCTGCCTGGGGGATAGGTGGGAGCCACAGGAAGCCCCCAGGGCACAGCCTGTGGCTGGGTGGTGGTGTCACCCTAAACAGAGACAGACAGGCAGGAGGAGGGTGTTTGGAGAAGAGCAGGGAGTCGTCTCAGGCAGCTTTGGAGTTGAGACACCCATGGACCCTCAGGGAGGTGTTGGGGGAGATCCAGGTCATGGGTTTTGGGCTCAGGATCCCATCAATGCCAATTTTGTGTCATCACGGAGCAGGATGGAGACCTGGGACCTGAGAGATTGGAAGGACATTTATGCATTCATGCATTCACTCATGCTACAGACATTTATTGAGTACCTACTGTGTGTTCGGCACTATTCTAGGCCCTGGGAACCCAGAAGTGAGCAAAAGAGACATGGCGCCTGCCCTCTGGGAGCTCACACACCAAAAGAAATGTTTTTAAGAACATTAGGTAGGGATAAGTTCTAAGAAAAAAAAACACAACAAAGCCAGCAGAGGGACAAAGGGTGGAAGAGGAAGGTGGTTATTTCGTACGGGGAGGACAAGGAGGGCCTCTGGGGAGATGGCGCTGGAGAGGATAGGAGGCTGGGGTAAGCAAAGTGGGAGTCTGGGAGAGGGAACTCCAGGGAGTAAGGGTTCTTGCTTTTATTCGGATGCATGGTTAGCCCTGGGAGGAGGGAGAGGATGTAACTTAGGTTTTGATGGGGATTCTTTGGTCTGCTGCATGGAGAACAGGAGGTGGGGGCCGAGTGTTAGCAGGGAGCCAGGGGGGCAGCCAGGACAGCTATCCTGCCTGGAGCCAGAGGTGGTTGTCAAGCTTGTCTGCTGTTTAATACCTTCTAAAACTCCAGGAATTAGTTCGCATCCTTCATTCCTCAGTCATCGCCCAGACTGTCTCCTGGGTCCCTCTCCCTTTCCTTGGTAGCTCTCACTTAGGGACTCTGAAGAGTCCCATCTCAGACCCCCCAGGATGTCTCCTGTACCCTCATGCCCCGCCAGGGCCAAGCCTGCTTTGCACACCTCTGTAGTCAGTGCTTCTCCGAGGGTACACAATAGGTGCTCACACTGCTGAAAGACGAAAGCATGACAGGGCATTCTACAGCAGCCCTGGTCTTGGGCCAAAACCACAGTGGCATCCTCAGCTCCTTGCTTCCTCCCACTCCGCATCCAATTCACCAGCAGAGCTGATGGGCTCTACCTCCAGAACCCACCAGAATCTTACTGGCCACACCCCCTCCTAGCCCCGTTCTGCTCCAGGCCTCCGGTACCTTGCACCTGATGGCTGCAGCGGCCACCTCTTTGGGCTTCTTCCTTCCACCCTGCCTCCTACAGTCTATGCTGTTGAAATCGAATCACGGGTGTCTGTCTCTGCTCACAACCTTGCAGTGGCTCCCATGACACTCAGAACAAAAGCTGAAGTCCTTCCAGTGGCCCCCCCCCCAGCTGCATGGCCTGCCCTGCTGTCACCTCTCAGACCTCCCCGCACCCTTGCTCCCTCTCCTCTGCTCCAGCTACACAGGCCTTCGCCCCATGGTTCTCCAGGCACACACCGCTGCGGATGCATTCCCTCCTCACGGTCAAAATACATGCAGCTCCCTTTGCAGAACGTTCCCTCAAATACCTGCCTGGCCCACTCTATCATTTCCCTTGTTCTCTGGGTTCAAATGTCACCTCCTCTGAGAAGTACTCTCTAATGATCTGACCTCAAGCAGCCACCCAGGGCCGCCACTTGCCCTCTTTCTTCTTCATTTTGCTTCACCATCTGACATAGTAGATTATCTCTTACTGCCTCTTTCCCCTACTAGTCCAGAGGGAGACATACTATACTGTCGTATCCCCAGCACCCAGGAAGGCTTGGTCCGTTCAGCCCTTGGTCAGGGCTGAATGGATTTCTGTTGGATGAATGAAGGGACGGCAGTTAAAGAGCCAGGTTGCCAGCTGACATTGCCCAATCTTGCTGTGTGGCCTCAGACCCACCCCTGCCCCTCTTTGTGCAGCTCAGAGACAGCCCTCTGTGCTCAGGGAAGGCCTCTTGGATGGACACTCCACCTGCTGATTGTGACAGACCCCAAAGCCGCCCTCTGCCCCCTGCAAACCTCCCATGCCCCGTACCTTCTTCAGCCACTGCGTGTTGTTCTGCAGTGCCTGCTCCAGCTGTTTCACCTGCTGGGTGGGCAACTTCCCCAGGTGCAGTGGGTTGGCCAGTGATTCTCTCTGGAGGGTGTTGGAGTCCCTGGAGACCTCAGGCCCCGGAGGGCAGGGCTCAGACTTGGGCAGCAAGAAGGTGTAGCTACAGTGGCCGTGCTGGACTACAAGTGTCTCGCAGCCCCTATCCGCCTCCTGCCTTGTCTGTTGAGCCACAGACATGGTGGCAACCACAAGGAGGAGGCTGCCCTGCAGCATGGCTAGCTGGGAGAGCATCTGAAGATGTGTCAATGGCGAGGGATGTCTGCTCAGAGCCCTAGGGGCTGTGCCTGGGATGTCCTGCTGCAGCCAACAGTGGCCAGGCTTGCCTGCAGCTGCAGCTACAAACCTCTGTCTGGCCGAGCTCTGTCCAGGCAGCTATTTATACTTGCTCTGAATACCACGGCTGCTCTGCTTGCTTCCTCTCACCGCCTCCCTCCGGCCCCACCCGACACCCTCTCACCTCTATTCTTCACTCCTTCCCTTCCTCCTTCCTCAGTCTTGGTGGCACGTCGCCCTTACCCTAAGCGTGCACCAACCTTGCTCTGTCTGCCTCACCTCTGAGCCCTCTGATTATCCAGTGAGGCCTGGCTTCCCTGCTGGAGGGGAGGGAAGAAAACAGCACACAGACACGCGCACACACTCATGCACACACTCACGAGCACACACTCACACGCACGCTGACACGCACACACATTCATGTACACACAAACGCCAAGCTCCAATGCTGCCCGCTTTGGAAAACCAAATGCAACTTAACTCTCCCTTCCTGTCTCTGTCTTGGTCTCCCTCTTTCCCTCCACCCCCATCCCCTGCCCCCCAAGTCTAAGATCTCAAGTTTCAGTCCCGCTGCCATCCCCTTCTCTCCCCGCTGCACCTTCCTCCCTCTGGTTCCATGTTAGCGCTTGGAGTACAAGTGACCCCCGGAGAGAGCAGAGGGAGGGGAGGAGGCAGAGGGGTGAGGCTGGGGAGGGCCCAGCGAATCCACTTTGCCTCTGGAGACACAGAAAATCCTTCCAAGGTGGGGCAAGTGAGCAACCCAGCTGGGAGTTGCTTCCTGTCCTCTCTTCTCCCTCAGGGCCAGGGGAAAGTGGTATGCCCCAGGATGGCCCTGGCTTGGTTGCTTGTAACAGTAATGAGAAGTTGTCATGTCCTGGGGCAGATTGTCCTGGGGCTGCTGGAGTGGGGATGTGGAGAGGAGGCAGTGGGGAGAGGAGGTTGGAGTGCCAGGAGGCTAACCCTAGATCTCGCTCCCCGACAGCTGGCCACGAGACCTAGGGTGGGCAGCTGTGCCTCTCTGGGCCTCCACACCCTGATCTGTAAACTGGGTAAACCTTATCTCTTGCAGGAGGAATGCGTGTGAGTCCTCAGCATGGGGATGGAGAAGTTTTCAGCTTCTGGGTTCAAATCCTGGCTCTACCATCTACCAGCTGTATGACTTTGAGTAAGTCACTTAACCTCTCTGTGCCTTCATTTCCTCCTGAATGAGGAAAATAATACCACCTACTTCACATGGCATGAAAATTAGGTGAGTTAGAGCAAGGTTGGCACAGAGCGAGCACTAAATAAATATTTTCCGTTGTCAATGTTATAGTTGTCATTGCACCTCCCCTCCCACGACCCACTGGAGCATAAACTCCTCTAGGGCAGGGATTTGTCCCTGGGGGACATGGTCTCCAGGCAGAAGGTGCCCAGGAGTTGGTGGGGCCTTTCCTGCATGGGCTGCCTTTATGTTCTGCCAGCTGTTTGGGCTTTTCCTCTCTCCCTGCTTGTTTCCTCAGAGTAGGGGCCAGTCTGGCTGTTTAGTATTTTCCTTTTTGTTCTCTCAAATCCCGATAGAGTTTTGAATTGGGGCAGGCTGCTTCTGGGCAGCTGTGAACTGTGGTCTCATCTGGGGACTGAGAACATTATACCAGGTGTGGGGCTTTTGCAGGCAAAGGAAAAGCAGCTGGTTATCAGCCTCCAGCCTCCCCTGAGCCTTCCCACATGCTCTGAGCTCTGCGTGCCCCGCTTGGCCCCAGTTGCCTCAGCTGTAAATGGGGTCATAGCACCCTGACCATGTGAGAGTAATGTGGACTGATAGCTTATCACAGCTCTGGGTGCAGAGAAGGGCAGTGTGAATGGTGGTCGTCATTATGATTGTCTTGACTGAGCTGCTTGATAATCCCAACGAGGCAGTTACACCAGGCCCCAAGCTTAGATGGGCCCCATGCTTGGTTTACACTCTGCCAGCACTGTCTTGAAATTCTTAATACATTTGGAACAAAGTACTCAGCACTTGCATTCTTCATTGAGTTCCACAAATTAGGTAGCAGGCCCTGCCTGGGAAACATGAGGCTTCCCTCATCCCTCACTCTGCTCCTGACCTTACCATCCAATCAGACCTGTTCTTCCAACATGATCCTTTAGATATTTCCCCCTCTGTCACCTCTTCACTACTCAGAATGCTGGAGCCAGCACATCTGGATCGGAATCTTGGCTTTCCTGACCCCCTATTTGTGTGCCTTTTGCCAAGTTGCCTAACCTGTCTCTCAGTTTCCTCTTCTGTCAAAATAGTGATGTTACAGTGGCTAAAAGACCGATTCCTGCAGTGAGGTTAACACAGAGCCTTTCACATAATACATGCTCAACCAGTGACAGCTGTCATCATTACTCCCTGCTATGATATGAATGTTTGTGTGCCCCCAAATTGATCTATTGAAACTTAGTCAACAAGGTGATGGTATTAGAAGGTGGGGCCTTTGGGAGTGAATAGCTCGTGAGGACTCTGCCTTGGGAATGAGATTAACGCTCCTATCAAACATGTCCTAGACAGCTGGCCTTCCCTTTTGCTAGGTGACGTTGCAGTAAGAAAGCACCGTCTATGAAGCAGGGAGCTCTCACCAGACACCAGATCGGCTGGTGCCTTGATCTTGGAATTCCCAGCCTCCAGAACTGTGAGAAATAAGTTTCTGTTGTTTATAAGCCCCCCAGCTTAGTGCATTTTGTTATAGCAACCTGAATGGGCTAAGACACCCCACCATCACTCTCTTAGACCGGGGTGCTTCCTCTCTTGTAGGGAGAACAACAGCCTCAGAAGTGAACTCTGGTTAATTGGCCTTTGCTATTGCAACCAGAGTGACCTTCCTTCCTTCCTTCCTTCCTTTTTTCTTTCTTTCTTTCCTTCTTCTCTTTCTTTCTTTCTTTCTCCTTTTTTTTGACAGAGTCTTGCTCTGTTGTCCAGGCTATAGTGCAGTGGCATGATCTTGGCTCACTGCAACCTCCATCTCCCCGGTTCGCGTGATTCTCCTGCCTCAGCTTCCCCAGTAGCTGGGATTACAGGCATACGCCACCATGCCCAACTAATTTTTGTATTTTTAGTAGAGACGGTGTTTCACTATGTTGCCCAGGCTGGTCTCAAACTCCTGACCTCAGGTGATCCACGCACCTCGGCCTCCCAAAGTTCTAGGATTGCAGGTGTGAGTCACCATGCCCAGCCCAGAGTGATTTTTCTAAGACACAATCCAGCCCTGACTTCTTTGTTTAAAATTCTTCAGTTTTGAACTCCAACTCTTTCTGTGGTTTACAAGCCCCTGCCGGATGTGGCCTCCATTCTCATCACTGTTTCCCTGGCACTTTATACCTTATCATTTGGAATTGGTTTTACTCCCCCGCATGCTTTCCGCCTTCTGAGGCCTCAGTGTCTATGCTCCTAGCAGGAAACTTCTGCTTAAAAACTTCCCCCCACCTGTATTGTCCCAGCTTCGTTCTGCCTGTCTTTTGATCTTATCTCAGGGATCACCTCCTCTGGGAAGGCTTTCTGCATCTGTCCCTCCCACTTCAATGGGAGTAGGCCTTCTGCCTCTGGGAGCTCAAAGGCCCCTGCCTGCCTGTCCCTCACCAAAGCACTCATCCTGCATTAGAAAGGCTTGTTTGCAGGCCTTGGTCACCGTCTAGACTGAACACTCTTCTAGGTTTGCTGTCACACTTTCCATTTCTGTGTTTGTTGCCTGTCCTAAGGTTAGGCTCACAGTGGGTCCTCATGAGTGTTATGTTGAATGAATAGGAGCTGCAGGCCCAAAGCAGAGAGGAAGGCAGTCCCCTTTCCTCTCCAGCAGGGGCAGCAGGAAGTTCTGTGTGAGTTGTTCTGAGTGTCTGGCCTCCAAATCCTAAAAACAAACCAACCCATGTTGATTTTCCCATTGTCTGCTGCTACCATGGAGGTAGAGAACGGAGAATAAACTTATATCCACCTGGATACTTTGGCTTTTGTTCAAATAGCTTGGGTAAAAAGGGAATTTATTGGCCAATTTAACTGAAAATTTTAGGGGTATCGAGCTTCAGGCATGGCTGGATCCAGGTGCTCAAATGATATTAGATTTTTTTTTTTTCCTCCAACTCCAGGCTCTTATTTTCCTTCATTTCCTTATTTTCCTTTGGGTTCATTCTGTAAGAGTTCCCACCATAATCACCACCACTACTGGCAACAGCAGCTCCAATCTATCAACTCAGTAACCTCTTTTAAGAGTGCCTCTTTCCTAATAGTTCTTGGAAAAGTTCCAGCTTGAGCCGTACAGTCATTCCTGAACCAACTATTATAGCCAGAGGAAGGAGCTACTGTGGATGGTCAGGCTGGATCCTGTGTCCAGGCCTGGAGCCTTGGAGCAGGTCAACCTCACAGGATCGGAAGGGACTAAGGGTGGGGTACAGTGACGCTCAAGAAAACCTGGAGTAGAATGATCAGGAGGCGGGTGGAGTTGTTGGGCATAAAGCACCTGCCTGCCTGCACCCTGACTCTCCATCCCGCCACCCACCAAGTGAACCCACCTCCCGCTCAGAGCTGATGGACTCTTGGAGTAACTAGAGATGCCATGGACCCTTACCTTGCATTTCACTCATGAGGAAACTGATACTCAGAGAGGGAGGCCACTTGCCCAGTGTTACATGCTGGAATCTATTTTCCTGGAAGAACAGAACTTCCTGCTCCTAGGAGTGAAGGGTGGGAAAACAGGGTCATTCCGGGAGGACCACTTGCCAATTTGGGGTCCTGAAGTACCTGGATCCAAAAGAAGAAGACTGTCCCCAGTCTGAATCTCCCACTCTGGGGAGAGGGTCACTCCTGGGTTGTTCCCACAATCCAGCCCTTCTGCCAGCCCCTCCCTTGGCAACTCCTTGCATTTCAACACCCTGGATGATCATTGAGGGTTGCACGTGGGGCAGCTGAAACAGACCCCAGGCCTCTGGTCCTGTGCTGCTCATGCCCCTGAGGACACTGCCTGGGCATCTCCCAGAGCTACTGATGGCAACATGGCAAGAGCCTGGTGGGAAGCTGTGGGGCCATCGACAACCCCGGGGGATGGTCTGTGTGTCCTCAGAAGGTCTGGTGGTGAATCTTGTGCAGCAGACATCATGGTGGCCCCGTGAGCCTTTCCACCCAAGACAGAAGTCGGTTGACTGCCCTCCTCCACTTTCTACCAACCCAGACCTAGAGCCAAACAGAATTCCTGGATCACAAGGGGCCTAGGGTGGGTTTTGAGGTCACCCTGTGACCCAGGCCCAGCTGTTAAGAGCCCCACATTCCTGATGCTCAATCTTGACTTCCCTTCAGTAGATGAGACTCAGTTTCCTCATCTATAACATGGAGAAAATAATCCCTCACTGGGAAGGCGGTGGTGGTGGGGTCTTCCAGTTACTGATACTGTGTAACAAAGTATCCCCACATCTAGTGGTTTAAAGCAGTGGCAACATCTACTTTACTCACAAATCTGCAATTGTGGCCAGGTTCCCTGGGAAAAGCTCAACTGTGCTCCATTCCGTGTCAGCTGGAGCAACTTGCAGGCTGGGGTTTGCATCCAAAACTCATCCACTCACATATCTGAAACCTCAGCTGGGGCACTCAGCAAGGACAACTGCATATGGCCTCTTCATGTGGCTAGGGGCTTCCTCATGGCATGGTGGCTGCTTCCCAGAGCAAGCATCTCAGGAGAGAGATTTGGGCAGAAGGTAGGTGATCTTTATGACCTAGCCTCATGGATCATGCAGGGCCAAGTCCTCTGTATCTAGTCAAAGAAGCAACCACAAAGTCCCACTCAAGTTCCAGGGGAGGAAGAACAGACTCTACCTCTTGATGAGGAGGATCAAGGTTTCAGAAGAAGGTATAGGATGGGGGATAGTGTTGTGGCCATTTTTATTTATTTATTTTGTTTATTTTTAAATTTTTATTTATTTATTTATTTTTGAGAAAGAGTCTCCCTCTGTTGCCCAGGCTGGAGGGCAGTGGTGTGATCTCAGCTCACTCTAACCTCTGCCTCCCGGGTTCAAGCAATGCCCGTGCCTCAGCCTCCCAAGTAGTTGGGATTACAGGCACATGCCACCAAGTCTGGCTAATTTTTGTATTTTTAGTAGAGACAGGGTTTCACCGCATTGGCCAGGCTGGTCTCGAACTCCTGACCTCAAGTGATCCACCTGCCTCGGCCTCCCAAAGTGCTGGGGTTACAGGTATGAGCCATAGTGACCGGCCTGTTATGGCCATTTTTAGAAAATACAACTGGCCATGGGAGGGTCGGATGAGAAAATGCCATTTAAGTGTTTAGCATGTAAGTGCTTGATAGTTGGTAGCTGTTATTATTATCTTTGCGATTATTGGAAAGACCCAGCATCTCTTTGCATAAAAATATCCTTCAGAACCTGTGAGAGCTAAAGGTGCAGGAGGAAGCAGGATAATTTCCATCAGGGCTGCTGGAGAAATTGGCCCAGAAACCCACTGGATTTGTCCCAAGTCACCCAGTGTATCAGCAGCACCCAGTCTGAGCAAGACTGGCCTGGGACATAGCTGCTTCTTCTGTTAGTAACGCTGTTACTACTTCCTGGGGTATCTTCCTTGGCCTCAGCTTCCTCTCTGAACCATGAGAGCATCCTGGCTCTGCCTCCTCAGAGGCTGAGGGGATAAGGGCGGAGGACATGCATTCTCTTGGCTGTGCCCAGTCTGGGCCACCAGCCATGCCTGTTCTTTCTCAGGCCTGGGGAGCTCGGTTGCCTCTGAACCCACATCTGGCACTCCCTCCAGGATATGAAGAATAAGCCTGCCAGGTCAGAGGGCAGATCTATTTTGGAACCTGGGACCCCATAAAGACCCAGAGGACCCTGTGACCGAGAAAACCAACAGGCCCCTCTGTGTTTTGTTTTCATTAAACAAGCACAACATGTCCCTCATAGAAAAGCCAGAAAATACATATTGGCAAGAAAGCGAAAATAAATGTTGCCTGTGCTCTCACCAGCCAGAGGCAAAAACCATAGCTAACATTTTGGAGTTTTTTCCCCCCAAATAATTTTCCTCTGCATATAGATGCATATTTTTTTTGGTAGATTTTCTAGCAAAAAAAAAAAAAAATCAACAAACAAAGGAATATTGTCTCAACAATTTTTTAATTTTCTTTTACTTACTTTGGATTTTTCTTCTGGAAAAAAATTTAGAGCCAGGCACGGTGGCTCATGCTTGGAATCCCAGCACTTTGGGAGGCCGAGGTGGGAGGATCGCTTGAGCTCAGGAGTTCGAGACCATTCTGGCCAACATGGCAAAACCCTGTCTCTTAAAAAAAAAATACTGAAATCTCCAGACTTCCAATTGGAATTTATGTTGGCCGGGTGTGGTGGCTCATGTCTGTAATCCCAGCACTTTGGGAGGCCGAGGCAGGTGGATCTATTGAAGCCAGGAGTTCAAGACCAGCCTGGCCAACATGGTGCAACCCTATCTCTACTAAAAATACAAAATTAGCCAGGCTTGGTGGTACACGCCTATAATCCCAGCGACTCAGAAGACTGAGACACGAGAAATGCTTGAGCCCAGGAGGCGGAGGTTGCAGTGAGCCGAGATCATGCCATTGCACTCCAGCCTGGGAGACAGAGGGAAACTATTTCTCAAAAAAAAAAAAAAAAAAATCAGACAAGTGCACAGGATAACAAAATACACCCCCATATAGTCATCACTCCAAGTGGGCCCATGTTAACATTTTGCATATTTGTCTTCGATTGTTAAAACAATGAAATATTACAGGAAATGTCAGTATTCCTTATAACTCCTTCTTGGTCTCATTTTCTCTCCCACCCTGCCCATAGGTTCATATCTAGGTATATAAATAATGTATAATATTTTTGTGTTCTCAAAACTTAAGTATATGCTGTTATACTGAATGCGACGTCCTGCTTATATTATATTTTCCAGATTGATATAAATGACACATATAGATCTTGTGACCAAGGACATTTTCTTTTCACTGCTGTGCAGCATTGCATTATGTAATTTTTAACTCTTTATCCAGTTTTTGGCAGATGGATATTTAAATTAATTCAGTTATCTTGTTATTCCTGACAATACTGCTATTACCATCTTATATGGGAATACTTGTGCTTACAAGCAAGGGCTCCTCTGGGGAACTAATCCAGGCATGCTCCTCCTGGGTCGTGGAATATATGTGCTGCCAGCCTGAGGCAGTTGCCAAATTGTGCTCCAAGTCTCTCTGTCGAGTTAATTCCAGTAGGGTGCCGGGGTCTCCATCGCTCCGCACCCCTGCCATCCCTTGAGATGGTCATGCTTTACCTTTGTTCCAATCTGATGGCTGTGAAATCGTACATGTAATTACATAGCCTGCTTTCCCTACTTAATAGTATATTACGGAACTATTTTCCTGTGCAGAATATTGTTCTATATGTGGGTGTTTCAAGGTGGCATAAGCTGAAAGCCTCCATTGGGGTGTTGCTGGGATTTTCTTAACCAATTCCCTATTGTTGGACAACAGGGTTTGTTTTTGTGGTAGGATTGCAAAACTGACCACAGATGCTACCCACCCCTATAAGCATGCTCCTTTGCAGTGTGACTCTGCAGTTCTCCCTATTAAGAGGCAAAGTTCACTTCTCCACTCCCTTAATGCTGACTTGGGCCATGTGACTTGCTTTGGCCAATGGGACATTTTCAAGCAGAGGCTTGAAAAGGGCTTGTGCTCTGGGGCTTGCTCTCTTGCTGCACCTGGGGCCCTGAGACCACCATGTGAATGAGTCCTGGCTAGCCTGAGGGATGATGAGACACACTTGGCCAAGTCATCCTGTCATCCCAGCTGATACTAAACCATCCACCAGATTTGTGAGTGAGGCCATCCTAGACCATCTATCTAGCCCAGCCAAACTGGTGCGGACCAGAAGCAAAGTCCAGTTGGCCTGCAGAGATGTGAAAAATAAATGTTTTAAGCCACTAAATTTTAGAGGTGGTCTGTTAGACAGCAAGCCTGATACAGTTCCACCCAGCATTTTCTTTGCTCAACCAGTTACTGGCTGGGAACCTTGGGCAAGTTGCTGAGCCTTAGTTTTCTCCTCAGTACAATGGGGGATTACATACGCACTCCTCAAAGTCGTTGTGAAGATTGGATGAGATGGCACCTGTCAGTATCACATGGCGGGGACCCCATAACCAGGGGTTCCTCTTTCACATCACGGTGGTCTTAGATGTGACCTGTGACCTTTCTTATTGCTTCTTGGTTCTCCCTGCTGCCTCTTTCTCAAAAATGTACTCATCCTTCCAAGTTTTCTGGAGAGTATCAACATGTAAGTGTAAATCACAATCCCTAGTGCTCTCCAAGACTTGCAGGTATCTCCTCCTTCCAGGGCCTTCCCTCTTGAAATTAGGCATAGTGGCTGTGTGCAGTGGCTCATGCCTGTAATACAAGCACTTTGGGAGGCCGAAGCAGGCCGATCCCATGAGGCCAGGAGTTGGAGATCAGCCTGGCCAACAGGGCGAAACTTTGTCTCTACTAAAAATACAAAAATTCACCGAGCGTGGTGGTGCATGCCTGTAATCCCAGCTACTCAGGAGGCGGAGGCATGAGAATCGCTTGAGTCTGGGAGGCGGAGGTTTCAGTGAGCCAAGATGGCACCACTGCACTCCACACTCCAGCAAGACCCGGTCTCAAAAAAAAAAAAAAAGTAAGGAAAAGAAAAAGAAAAGAAAAGGAGTCTCCATCCAGACCCCAAGAGAGGGTTTCGTGGATCTTGCACAGGAAAGAATTCAAGGTGAGTTGCAGAGTGCACTGAGAAGAGATAGTTTATTGAAAGCTACTCAGTTACAGAGAAGGATGTCCTCAGAAAGCAAGAGGAAGAACGCACTGTCTTTGTTTTAAACTCTTCTAATGTAGGAGTCTTATCTAAGTAAAAGCTAAGTTATGTCTTTGTGCAGACAGACCGACAGTGTGACAGAATCCATTACCGTTGACTTAAAGAAAGTTATCCTTGGCATTTTAGTAAGTACATCAGATCACGACAGTAATTGTTTTGAAAGCATAAATTGTTATGTGATATTGGAACATCTGGGCATTTTGCTGTCGTAAGAGTTTACTCTTGCAGGCATTATTGAGCAGCTTCCTTAGCCATAAACATCTTATGACTGTGGGCTGTGATTAGCAAGGAATGTGTCTTGCTAGTTTTAAGATAGAGTTGATTTTAAAATGGTGTCACCCTAGCTCTCCTATGCTCCTGTTTCCCAAACATAATCCCCCCTCTACTTAAGAGAGAACCCTAAATCTTAAGGGGAGATGAAAGGTGAAGGTCATTTTTCTGTAACTTATTCCTGCTGACAGTGGACGTTGTTGACCTTTGGGAGAGAGTTCTCTCATAAGAGTTTGCAGAGAGCCTTGTAGGGAGCCGGGGAAACTCTTCACTTGAATGACATCCCGATGATTTGGTTTAGTAAGTGTAGGGGCAGATAAGCTGCCAGACTATTTTATCTCCGTAATCCCATGCAATAAGTGCAACAGAAGTAAAAAGCACAATAACCAATAGCAATAAGTGTGACAACACGAAGCATGCTAAAAAGGAATGCCTTCCAAGTGCTGGGGAGCTGGCCAAACTGTGCTGTTATGACAGGAAGTCAATTGCTGAGGTATGAGTCTCTAGGGAGTTCATGGCCTGAGATATATTATGAGAGTGACCAGGAATATAGACACAGTGTTCAGTCTTGATCAATGCACAGATTTTCCCAGGGCTGCTGTTAATATGTTTAAAGCCATATGGCTTTGTAAGGACATTTGTCTTATTCGGGACGTTTCTTCTGTCAGACGGGTGATCACCAGATGAGTGTTGTTGAAAGCCACAGCAGTATGTTTTGCTAGGGCTCCCACCTGCGATTCAACGTCTATAGATGTTGCTTAAAGACAGAATATGGGCACAGGATATAACCACCAAAAAGTTTGTTTCTGTTGCCTATCACAGACCTTGACTACTTCCCAGTTGGTGGAGAGGGAATCCAGATGTGTAAGGATACATCCTAGAAGGTAGGGATGACCCCAAGTGCATCATCCAGTCAAATTGTAAGGTGAGTATGGCCAACTATGAGACCCACATGCCCATAACCATTCCCAAGGGGAAGGATAGTCACCTAACCATAGAGATTCATTTTGCCATCCCATCCACATTTGGTCAATTGAAAGGAGAGTCTGATTGCATTGTTGGGGTGGCAGCCATCCGATACTATAGATGTTGGTTTGGGGGTGGTTACTGTTGATGAAAAGAGTCGAACTCTGTAAAATATTTGAAGAGACTTATTCTGAGCCAAATATGAGTGACCATGGCCTGTGACACAGCCGTCAGGAGGTCCTGAGAACATGTGCCCAAGGTGGTTGGGGCACAGCTTGATTTTATACATTTTAGGGAGGCATGAGACATCAATCAAATACATTTAAGAAGTACATTGATTTAGTTCAGAAAGGCGGGACAACTCAAAGCGGTGGGGGGAAGGAGAGGCTTCCAGGCTATAGGTGAACTTAAACATTTTCTGGTTGACAATTGGTTGAGTTTGTCTAAAGACCTACGATCAATAGAAAGGAAATGTTTAGGTTAAGATAAAAGATTGTGGAGACCAAGGTTCTTTTGAAGTCTCATAGTAGCTGCCCTCAGGGACAATAGATGACAAATATTTCCTATTTAGACCTTTAAAAAGGTGCTAGACTCTTACTTAACCTCTTCAGGATTGGGAGGGCCTGGAAGAAAAAGATGTAGCTATGTTAATAGAGATTCTTTACAGATGCACATTTGTCCCCACAAAGGACAGCTTTGCAAGACCATTTCAAAATATAGCAAAGAAACATGTTTTCGGGTAAAATATTTTAATTTTCTTCCTTGTCTCATAACATTATGCCAGGGTCAGGTCGGAAAGTAAGTCACAATATGTAGGGTTAAATAAAACCCATCTGAGGAGAATTTATGGTTTGTAGGGCATGACTCCCAGACCCCTTAGATAGGAATTTGGACAAGAAAAAAAAAAATCAGAGCCTAGTCCTCATAACCATTATGCCTTCCAAGGCATAAGGGTACTTTGCCTGATAACTGAATTTGGATACCTGTCAACCAACTGAGTCCATCATGTATGGTATAGCCTAAGGTAGGGATGCTATTAAGTTATTTGGGATTAAATGAAGAAGGAATTTCTTGGTTTCGGTGGAGGAAGGGAAGAAAGAGTGGTGTGTGTCCTTTTGGAAAAAGGAGAGTACATATTTTCTGTACTCAAATTAGCTGATTGGATATGCCAAGGTAAGCCCGAGGTTGACAAAGTTTGTACCCATTCTGCAAACAGATATCCTCCAACTCTATAATAGAGCAAGCTCAACATTAAAACCAGTGGTCTTATTTTCAGAGCATCACTTATCCACTGGATAGCTTTTTCTGGAAGAGAAGCCGTAGATCCACTATTGGCTCACAGGAGTATTCTGGAATGGTGATCCCTGCACCAGATGCCTGTGGGACTTCATGAGAGACAGGTTTAACTTGGGATAAATGTACCCAAATATGTAATCCCTTAAGTTTAACTGTAGTAGGAGTGCCTGGAAGTACATGGTAGGGCTCTTTCTATTTTGGGGAAAGCTGATCTGCAGGGGATCCCTCCTTCCAAGGTTTCAATAGCATGAAATCTCCTGGTCAAACAGGAGAGAATATTTATGAAGATGGTCCTGACACATGTATACTGAACAAACATGCATGTAACATATGACTCTGTTCACCTTAAGGTGGAGACTTAATCCTTGCCAGGCATGGTCTTAGATCCTGTTTATAATTTGAAATCTTCTTGCTATAAAGTTTCTATTCTATCAGTCTTATGATCTCTGTTTTAATGTTAATGCTGGTTGGTTGTGCCCGAATTCCAAGAGGGAGAATTGTACAGCAAGGTGTGTTTGACCCCCCAGTCCCTCTTCCCATCATGGCCAGAACCAGTTGTTCAGGATTTTTAAAAAATTATTATTTCCTTTTGCCAAGAGAGAGGTCCATTCTGTTGGGTGGCTTAGGATATTTGTTTATTTATTAGTTTAGTTTATGGTATCCCATTTTGTCGAGGTGCCAGAGGCAGTATTGAAGGCTAAGCTTTTATTGTGTCCCATATCAATGCTGGGGTGGTGTCCTACTTGCCCTGGTCCATTACCTCCCTTGGTGGAACACTTATGGTCAAGGAACTTAGAGTCAAAAGACTTATAGCCAATCAAATGTTCTAGGCCAGATGGGAATGGAGGTGAGCAGGCACTCATTAACCTTAAAGCCTCTTTAAGCAACATAAGAGCCAAAAATCAAAAGCCAGAAGGCAAGGTATAAAATTGGCTTATTTAGAAATTCTATGCAAGAGCTACTATAATCTTGGTTTGTGGCAATTAGCTATACAAACTCAAGAATTATGTTTAGCTATTTAGGGATCTGTGTGCCTGTCCTTGATTTGGAGTGTCAGAATTAATTTTATTCCTCAAAACTGGCCCTTACAATCTCATGTGATAGTCCCTGGGCATGGAGGAATTGAATAGTTTCAAATTTTGGAGGTAAAACAAAACATAAGGCATTAACAACATTTTAAACAAAAGGTCATAAGCCCTGCCTAGTTTTGAGAGTGACAGGAAAGGAAGTTCACAGGTAGCTAAACATTTAAATTATTTAGTATCAAGACATAGAATAAATTATATTATTTCAGATAAAGGCAAAATTATTAAATGAGTCTTAATGTTTTTGAATACAGGACTGCCTCTGTGTCTTATGGAAGCAGTTTATTTTGATTGTCACTTTTGTCTAGGTCTAAAGATGAGACTTTGGTCAACTTGAGTTTGGTGTCAGATACTGGCAGAAGTCAGTGCCTTCTTCTTTTTTGGGACAGAGTCTCACTCTGTCACCCAGGCTGGAGTGCAGTGGCATGATCCTGGCTCACTGCAACCTCCACTTACCAGCTTTAAGCAATTCTCATGTCTCAGCCACGCAAGCAGCTGGGATTACAGATGTGCACGTACCACCACACCTGGCTGATTTTTGTATTTTTAGTAGAAATAGGGTTTCACCACGTTGGCCAGGCTGGTCTCAAACTCCTGGCCTCAAGTGATCTGTCTGCCTCAGCCTCCCAAAGTGATAGGATTATAGGCATGAGACACTGTGCCTGGCAGTCAGTGCCTTCCTTAGATGAGATATTGGACCCAGAAGTCAAAGCCCTGTAACTTAACAGCACAAGGATTAGTTAATAGCACCTGATAAGGATACTTTTGAGGGGGATAGAGTGAGCCCTTTAATTGATGTTCTTCCAATATATGTAATTATCAGGCTGGAGGTGGTGATCCTGGAGTTCATGGTCTGACTGGAAGCTGTGAAGACTTACAATCTTCAGTGCTTAATTTTTATGGCTTTAGTAAGCCCCAGCAATATGACTAAGTCAGAGACTTAATTTAGGATTTTGATTTTGAAGATGTTTGTTAAAGATGTTAAAAGGCTCAAAACATTTGATCAAAACAGAAGCACAGATCATGGTAAAATAGCATTTACTCATTTACCCAAAGTGATCATCGAAATACTTTAAAGGCAATACAGAAGGTTACATGGATGTAAAAACCTTAACCCTTTTAAAATCTCAGTTTCTTTAGCAATGAAAAACCTAATAAAGACAGCATAGAAATTATCTTGATAATACATAAAATCTCAGTTTTTTAAGCCATCTACTAAAAAAGCAAAAAAGCCCTACTGCATTGTGACTACTTTTACTTATTGGAAGCTCATTTAGATAACCAGGAAGTCAAACTTGATGAAAAAAGTGCTTGAATTTAATCAGACACAGGAAGACTGTTTTCAAGGTTATGAATATAGCAGGGGAATACACGACTCCTAGGAACAGCATGAGAAGTTTTCTGATTGCATCAAAAATTTAGACATATCAAGAAAAGCCAGTGTACAGAATGCAGTTATACTAGAGGAAAACATTGCTTTTCTAGACCTCCAAGATGCAATATGTTAGCATTTGGCCATAATAACAGTTAGAACCAGAGCAGGGAGAAAGTTATAGAAGCTGACAGAAAAATTAAAGGAGAGAGTTGTTATCTCAAGCATTCTCAAAGGGAGAAACAGCTGAAAGCTGTTTTTTTCAACAGCACAGCAACAGTTGAACTTTTGAGATATGATTCTGAGAAGTTTTAAAAAGAAAAAGGTTATAAAATTAAAGGTAAGATTTCCTATAATTTATTTAAAGAGCATATCAATATCTTAAGAAAACCTTGTTTTGATGTAAGGGACCAATTTTTAGACAAATTATTATAAATAATTTTTTTATAACTAATGATATGCAAAATCCCTTTTACAAATTCCCCTTTATGACTTACATAGACCATCTACGACATGCTTGGACTCTCTGACTTGTCCTGAACTTCCCTCTTTGCTAAACAATCAGTCATTTTACTTTAGGACAAAAATTTACCATATAAGACTCTTTTTCATATAAAATTATTCTCTTTTCTTTATAACCTTTCTTACCATAAATACATCTTCATATTTATAACTTTCTTTACATCTCTCTCTCTCCCCTACCTACTGGTCCCTTTCTACCTTGTTTCATAAGTAAACATTTTCAAGTTCGTAATTTGAATTGACCTTCAATTCAGATAACTTCTGAATTAGACAAAATTATTTTTTTCTCAGTAATACTAGATCTTGGCAGGCTTTTGGCCTCTAACATCACCCAGAGAGAAGCCAAATTAAACAACCTAAGAAGCAAAAATCATCAAGACCAGAAGGAAAATGTTAAGTGTAAACTTCAAAGCATGTGAGCGTAGGGCGACATGTGTCACTACTGAGGCACAGACAGCAAATATGTAGTCATCAAAAGGGACAAGGGGATCAAGAAGCAGTAGGTGCTGGAAAATATCCCTCTGAGCCTCAAACAGTTTATGCATCAGGGTGACACTGCAACCCTGGGCCCCTAATGGCAGAAAAACGCCACACAACAGGGTGGCAGCTGACCAGAAGGATCCCACAACTCCAGGCTCCCTAGCAGACACAGCCCAAAGGATCCAACAACTCTGAGTGGGGGGCTCCAACCCCTGGGCCCTGAGAATATAAAGGAACATGAGTGTCCCTGTGTCTCCTGGGGCTCAGAAGGCTAGGCTGAAAAGTGACAACAAAGGGAAGGGCACTCACCTGCCTGTGAATCCAAAACTGGAAAAAGCAAGAAATCCTGAGCTGTTTGTCAGATGTTAGCATTTTATAGATAAAGCCATTCTATAATTTTAGAAACATGCTTTCCCATATCATAAACTTTTCTTAATTGGAAATAACCCAGACATCTGATGAGTAATCTAAGGAAAGCTGTGGACCAAAATTTTGGGTAAAGTGGTCTTTATGGAAGTTAAAAAAAAAAAGATTTAAAAAAAGATTTAAAGATTTTTTTTTTAAAGCCTGGCTGGGCATGATGGCTCCTGCCTGTAATCCCAGCACTTTGGGAGGCCGAGGCAGGTGGATCTCTTGAGACCAGGAATTTGAGAGCAGTATGGGGAACATAGTGAGACTCTGTCTCTATAAAAAATTAAAAAAATTAGCTGGGTGTGGTGGTGTGCACCTGTGGTCCCGAATACTTGGGAGGCTGAGGTAGGAGGATCACTTGAGCCCAGGAGGTTGAGGCTGCAGTGAGCTGTGATTGTGCCACCGCATTCCAGCTTGGGTGACAAAGCAAAACCCTGTCTAAAAAAAAAGAGAAATAAAGAATAAATAAAAGAATACATGAAATTAAATTTTAAAAAAGCCTTTTCCACTTTTTTTCCTTCAGTGTCAAATGAACTTCTAATGTTTCCATTTCATCTAGAACTGACTGAACTGCGTTAAGAAAAATAAAATCTCCAAGTAGACTTGAATTAGTAATACATAAACAGTGAGTCTTATCTCAACACCAGCAGCTTAATAACAGCAGATTTAAAGCAGGCAGAAAAGAAAAGGGAGAAATAGATAAGAGAGCTTTAGAAGCAATAATCAGAGGCAAGCATGGAAAGTGAAAGTAGCAAACTTCTGGGCTGGCCATACAGAGCTGTCATAAGCCTGCAGTAAAGCAAAGGTAACAAGCTGGGAAACGATGAGAATTACAGCATTCCCATACCTGGCAAAGGGGACAATATGGATTAGTTCATAGCAAACATCTTGCAAAGCTACTTCCATTTTTCCAAATATACCCCAGGGGCTCTAACCCCATGGGTCTTTGGGCCTCTGATCTGAGTATTATACCCCAGGGCCTCCAACCCTGTGAGTTGGGCCTCTGACTCCATGGGCCAGGCCTCTAGCCTGAGTTTCTAGGCAAGTGTCCTTGCCTAAGCCTGACATAGTACACCAAGATGGACCTCACTTACCAGAAGCGGCCAATTGGTGCTGCAGACTGAATTTCTTTTGCATAGGGTCTCGTCTTATGCTTCCTTCATGGTCGCTAGGAAGATGTTGCCAGAAAAGGGGCCATGATTCAAACCTTAAAAAAGGGTTCTTAGGCCTCACACAAGATGGAAGTCAAGGCGAGTCTCAAAGTGCATTGAGAACAGATAGTTTATTGAAAGCTACTCAGTTACAGAGAAGGGTGTTCTCAGAAAGCAAGAGGAGGAACACATTGTCTTTGTTTTAAACTCTTCTTATATATGAGTCTTATTCATGTAAAAGCTAAGCTATTTCTATGTGAGTGGACTGACAGTGTGACAAAATCCATGACTCTGTTGATTTAAAGAAAGTTATCCTTGGCATTTTAATGTGTAAGTACACCAAAGCATGACTATAATTATTTTAAAAGCACACATTGTTATGTGACATGGAAACATCTGGACATTTTGCTGTCTAGGAGTTTGTCCTTGCAGGTATTATTAAGTGGCTTCCTTAGCTGTGAATATCTTATGATCATGGGTTGTGATTGGGAAGGAATGTGCCTTGCTAACTTTAAGATAGAGTTGATTTTAAAATGGCATCACCCTGGCTCTCCTATGCTTCTGTTTCCCTAACAAAGGAATGCCCCTTCCCTCCACACCCCAAGCCCCAACCAGCGGGACCTGGAGGTAGGGAAGACAGCATGGGAAGCCCAGCCTGGATTGGAAGCAGCAAACATTTGACCATCCCAGCCACAGGGCATGCCTACCCTCTTCTCTCCCTGGACCCTGGCCTCGCCTACCGTGGCCATCCTGCTCCCACACTAATCAGAAACTTTCCCCTGGAAACCCGTCCTGGGCCCAGCCTTTGTTTCAGGTCCTCCTCAAGCCAAAGACTTCCTGATGCAAGCGCTTCCTCCCTCCAGCCAGGGTGAATTCTGCCCTGTCCTTAGTTGGCTTTTCACATTCACGTTTCCTTGTGATGCTGCTACTCCGGCTATCAGAGTCGGGGGCAGCAGTGCTGAGGCCTCCCACCCAACCCCAAGGTGGCAGCAACATCCTTCAAGTTCCCTCCTTCCAGGAAACCATCTCTGGCCCCTCACTTCACAGCGTCCTCCCTCCTGTTCTGCACCTGGCATTTAACACATACTGCCCCAATCACTGAGGATGTTGTCACTGTTGGTAATACAAGGAATAACAGCACTGACAACAATCACAGGGTCAACTATGGGAGAGCAAGAGGTTGAGAAAAACAGACTCTGCAGTGATTGGATCTGGCTCATCTGAGCCTGAGTTTTCTCACCTGTGAAATGGGGTCAGTGTAGCATCTACCAGCCTTGTGTAGCTGCTGGCAGATAAAATTAGATCAATATATATCACCATCAGCACTCAGAGGGCTCAGTCCCTGGGGACAATTGTGGTTATTATTATTATTATTGTTGCTGCTACTACAGGGAACACTTGCCAAGGCCTTCCTGTGGGCCACTAACTGTGCCCCCACTCTTCCAGATTCACACCCAAAGGAACAGGGTGCTATGATACCCATTTTGTGGTTGAGAAAAACTGAGTTCCATCAAAGTGAGGAGATGGGTTCAAGGTACCACAGTTGGGACCTGAAAAGCCAGCAATGCACTAAAGATGTGGGTGACACAAGGCTTGGACCCTAACAGAGCAGACTCTGAGCCCTGAGGGTGGAGATCCCAGCCTAGTTCACACTGCTGCACAACCTGGCTGCAGGAGGACAGCCAGTCTTGGGGCTCTGGCCTCGGACAACCTGGGCTAATCCTTCCACCTTCTAGCTGAGTGAACCCGGGAACATCACTTAACCTTCTTGAGCTCAGTTTTTGCCTTTGGAAGGTGAAATAATGGTCTCTACCATGCAGGGGGTGGGGGAGGATTAGATGGGTAAGTGGATGGAAAGCTTGAGCCCAGAGCCTATGCACAGTGGGCTGCTCAGGAAGGTAGAATCATGCAAGCCCAGGCCTAGAAATTCTAAAGGGCAGGCACAGGTTCCCCACAAACATGACCTTGGCAGAATCCGTTTCTGAGAGTTGGCAGCAAGAAGAAGTTGTATGGATGACAGAAATTCTCAAATTTGCCTATTTTCTTAAAGTGGACATTTAAAAAATTCCACATTGGGGCGGAGGAATGTTCTTAGCCCAGGGATTGCTATACATAGGTTCATGCATTTACTATGCGTTGGTTCATCTAAGCCCAACCTCAGGGTCTTTGTATTTGCTGCTCCCTCTGCCTGGATCACTGTTTCCCCAGTGGGTCTCTTCCTAACATTCTAGTCTAGGCTTAACTATTTGCCCTTCAAGAGATCTTCCCTGGGCACCCTATAAAAATGCATCCTTCACATAAACTCTTTCTCCTTTTCCCTACTTTGTTTATTCATGCTGCTTTTACTATCTGGCATCATATTCTAAATTTATTTGTTTATCTGTTTGTTGACTGCCTTCTTGTCTTAGCCTATTCAGGTTGGTATAACAAATTGTCATGAACTGGGTAGTATATAAACAACAGAAATTTGGGCTGGGCACAGTGGCTCAAGCCTGTAATCCCAGCACTTTGAGAGGACAAGGCTTGAGGTCACGAGTTTGAGACCAGCCTGGCCAACATGGTGAAACTCTATCTCCACTAGAATACAAAAATTAGCCAGGTGTAGTGGTGCACACCTGGGGTCCCAGCTACTTGGGAGGGTGAGGCAGTTGAATGGCTTGAACCCGGGAGGTGGAGGTTGCAGTGAGCCAAGATCGAGCCACTGCACTCCAGCCTGGGCAACTGAGCGAGACTCCATCTCAAAAAAAAAAATTTAAAAATAAATTTATTTTCACAGTTCTGGAAGCTGGAAAGTCTAAATCAGGTCATGGGTAGATTAGATGCCTACTGAGGGCCTGCTTTCTGGCTCTGGGAGACTTTTAGCTGTGTCTGCATATGGTGGAATGGGTAAGGGGCTGCTCTGGGGCCTCTTTCATAAGGGCACTAATTCCATTCATGAGGGCTCCACTCCCATGACGTGGTTCCCTCCCAAAGTCCCCACATCCTAACACTATGACATGGGAATTAAGTTTCAACATATAAATGTTGGGAAGACGCAAACATTCAGAACATAGCACTTTCCCATTAGATTGTGAGGATAAGGACTATATCTAAGCCATTCACTTCTATATCCCTGTTGCCCACTATATACCTAGCATACAGTAGGTGCTTAATAAATGTTTGAAAAATGGGTGAATGAAATATTGTACTTTCTAATTCAAGCATTTTCTGAGCACCTACTGTGCACCAGGGCCTGTGCTATGGGCTGTATATACAGAAATACATCAGTGAGAGTCCTCAGCCCTAAGGCCATTGGTCTGAAGAAAAAAGAGAAATTGCAACAAGTGCCATAGCAAACACAGCTGGGAAATTCACTGATGTAGTTTGGAGGTGTGTCTCTGCTCAAATCATATATTGAAATGTAATCTGCAGTGTTGGAGGTAGGGCCTGGTGGGAGGTGATTGGATAATGGAGGAGGATTTCTTTTTTTATATCTATCAGGAATGCAAAATTAATTTAATAATCGAAAATTACTATAATTCACAGACTAAGACAAGAAAAGCCATACGATTCTCTCACCAGTTGCAGAAAAAGCATATGATAGAATTAAACATCTTTTTATGATTTTTTAAAATTATACTTTAAATTCTGGGATACATGTGCAGAATGTGTAGGTTTGTTACATAGGTATACATGTGCCATGTTGGTTTGCTGCACCCATCAACTTGTCATTTACATTAGGTATTTCTCCTAATGCTATCCCTCCCCCAGCCCCCCACCCCCTGACAGGCCCCAGTGTGTAATGTTCCCCTCCCTGTGTCCATGTGTTCTCATTGTTCAACTCCCACTTATGAGTGAGAACATGTGGTGTTTGGTTTTCTGTCCTTGTGATAGTTTGCTGAGAATGGTGGTTTCCAGCTTCATCCATGTCCCTGCAAAGGACTTGAACTCATCCCTTTTTATGGCTGCATAGTATTCCATGGTGTATATGTGCCACATTTTCTTTATCCAGTCTATTATTGATGGACATTTGGGTTGGTTCCAAGTCTTTGCTATTGTGAATAGTGCCACACTAAGCATATGTGTGCATGTGTCTTTATAGTAGCATGATTTATAATCCTTTGGGTATATACTCAGTAATGGGATTGCTGGGTCAAATGGTATTTCTAGTTCTAGATCCTTGAGGATTTGCCACGGTGTCTTCCACAATGGTTGAACTAATTTACACCCCCACCAACAGTGTAAAAGCGTTCCTATTTCTCATGGAGGAGGATTTCTAATGAATGGTTTCACACCATCTCCTTGGTACTGTCCCCATGATAGGGAGGGAGTTCTTGTAAAAGCTGGTCATTTAAAAGTGTGAGGCCCCCACCGCCTCTTTCTCTTGCTCCTGCTTCACCAGGTGATGTGCCTGTTCCCCCTCTGCCTTCCACCAGGATTGGAAACTTCCTGAGACCTCCCCAGAAGCTGATGCCACCATGTTTGCTGTGCAGCCTACAGAACCGTGAGCCAATTAAACCTCTTTTCTTTATAAATGACCCAGTCTCAGGTATTTCTTTCTGGCAATGCAAGAACAGCCTAACACATTCACCTCCAGCTACTGCAAGCATTCATGGGGATGAGTGAAAGGAAGGAGAGAGGTGGCTGCTGTGTCGAGGGTTTGCTCTACGACAGGATGGTGCACTTGCCACCTCTGGCTCGATCCACACACTAGCCCATTTTACAGATTAGGCATTGGGAACTCAGAGAGGTGAAGTGACTTGACCAAAAGCAAACTCATGGCAGAATGAAGACTGGGACCAGGGAGGCCTAATTCCAAACATTGTGTGTTACCTCCTCTACCACAAGGCCTCTCTTGCCCAAGAGAAAGAATAAAGTCCAGCTAAAGTGAGCTCAAGCAAAGAAGATATAGATATGTAATTATTATCATTGTTATTACTATTTTTTTCTCATGTAACAGATACATCAAAAAGTAGAAGCCTTCAGGCATGGCTGGATCTAGGGTCTCAAACACTATCACTAGAACTGCTCCATTCTTAGAGAGGCTCTCAAGTCAAAGTGACAAGACGGCTGCCTGCCATGCCAGCCTCCCCTCCCCTACTCCCAAAAGACCAAGTCCAGAGGGAAAAAGAATGCCTCATAGCAGGCCGTTGAGGTTGGCTAATCTGGCACCCATTCCCATCAGCCTCTTCCTGCTACAAAGGCTGTGCAGCCAAACGTCCACCTTTCTGACCCTCCTGCAGCTGGGTGGCCACAGGACACAGTTCTGGTCAATGAGACATAAGCTGAAGTTTGTGGTGAGGGAGAGCTTTTGCTCCTCTGATAACAGGAGCAGTTGTGGCCAGAGCTGCCCCTTCCCATGTTGCCTTGATCACAGACATGATATTTGAAGCACAGACCATCTTGCAACCAGGAGGAAAGGCTGAGAAAAAAAAAGTCCTCACTATTTTTTAGCCATGACATTGTTAAGTTGCTGGACTCCTAACTTCAGACTTCTTCCTAAGAGAAAAATAAACTTCCAATGTTCAAGCCACTGCATTAAATTCCTTGTTACTTGTAGCTGAAAGCATTCCTGACTAATACAACTCTCTGTCTCAGGTCCCTATAAAAACCCTGGGAAGGCATCATATTGGTTCTAATGGGGTCATGCTGTCATTCTGCAATGGACTGTGGTGGCCAGCAGAGATGGGATGTGCCAATTGACCACTCCAGTGGCCACCCTTACCACATAGGCTTCGAGTGGGTAGGGTTGTTCTCCAGCACAAAAGTTAGTAGAGTAGGGAAGTGGTGGCTACACTCCCTATACCTCTGAATCAGTGGAGGCAATAAATTCCCTGTTCTTGGCTTAAAGTTTCTTCCATCGTTTCCAGGAACATGAAGATATTGACTTATTTATCCTCCAGGATTTTTATTTGGAATGTGAGGGGAGGATAATTCAGTGAACAGTCCAAATAGGGGATCTTCCTGGGAAAAAAGGACAAGTCATAAAAACTGCATTGAATGCCAGTGTGCACAATGTCCTTTCTGTGCCCCAAGACAGTCTCCCTGCATGAGTTCTTGAGCCAGACAGACCTGAGTTCAAACCCGTCTCCATCATGCAAGTGCGTGGGCAGCCTCGCCATGTCACCTCACCTCTCTGCACCTGCGTCTCTAGAACCGGGGGTGGAAGGACCCACTTCAAGGACCCAGTCTTCAAGAAAGAGTGGACCAAGTGCCTCCCCCATGGTGGCCCTTTGACCAGCAGCAACACCCAGAGTGCTTTCTCTGTGAACCCTTCCCTGATAATCCCAGAGTCCCAGGGAGAAAATCTGCTCCCATCTGAAGCAGGAACCATCCAGCAGTGAGTGAACCCACTGCCATTTCCTCCTGCCATGTGGCTAGGCCATATTCCACAGCCTCCCTTGCAGTCAGGAGTGGCCACGTGCCTTAGTTCCAATCCACTGCACTCCTTCCCCTTTGATGGGTTTGATGCACACAGGTCTGAAGACCTCAGCAGCCACAGTGGAAGATGGCAGAGCTGCAGGACACCAGGAGCTTGGGTCCTGAAATCTTTGTGCGCTAGAGCTGCTCACTTACCAGGGGCACCCATGTTGGGCTTTTGGTGAGTAAGGAAAAAACCTCTTTGGTATTTGGTGCATGGTGCCTCTTGGGCTTACGAACGTTACCCACATGCACCGCTTGGGGGGCACCTGTAAAAGTCTGCAGGACGGTCAGCCCGGGAGGACATTCCATGTGGGCACCAGCAAAGGCAGAGGGTGGGAGGTGAGGAGGCCTGAAGAGCCAACGGCAGCCACACTGTGGTGTTGGAACCAGATTGTCCTTCAGTCCTCCCGCCTTGACTGCCAGAGAGCAGCCCATGATCACCATCACATCAAGCCTGCAGGCAGGGTAAGAGATTAATAACAATACTAACAACAGTAATAATAGGAGGCTCTGCCAATATTCAAGAGAACTTACCACTCACCAGCTGCGGGCTGGTTTCTTCCTAGGCCTGATCTCATTTAATCCTCACCATGGCCCAGCAATGAAGGCCCTACTGATGTCAGTCCCATTTTACAGACAAGAATACAGAGGCCCATGAGGCGTCGGAGGACATTCTCCAAAGGGCATGTTCTTGAGCTCAGCTTCCTTCCAGCACAGCCTTTCATCAGGGCTTGGACCTTCATCCCATTATATGTCCAGCATTATTCATAGGCTGAGGACACAGAAGTGAACAAAGTAGATAGAAATCTGGACCTCGAGGGGCTGCGACTCTAGTGGGAGAAAATGGGCAATAAACACACAAACACGTAAATATACAAAAGGAGTTTGGTGAAGGATGAGTGACATGAAGACAGCAGGTCAGGATGCTGCGGTGGGTGAAGGGAGGAGGTGGTGCTGTGCATCTTGAGGTTGGAGGAAACCTCTCTGACATGGAGCTGAAAGTGCTGCAGCAAACGAGTGAGCCACGTGAAGATCTGGGGCAGGCTGTTCCTGGCAGAGGGAACAGCAAGTGCAAAGTGCAAGTGCTACGGCCCTGAGGCTGGAAGGAGCTTGTCATGTTCAGGAACAGAAAGGAGAGAGCAGTGTGGCTGGAGTGGAGTGATGGGGGGTGGGGAGGGATGAGGCTGCAGAGGGAGTGGGTTGGGACAAGTGGCAAGTTTTGGTGGGCAATGGTGGCAGGGGTAGATGATCCTCCAAAAAGACTCATCTGGATGCCAGCTCTGGGGGGTGCAAGGAGGGTATTCCAATGAGGAGAGGAGACAGGGGTTTCAGCCCAAATTTGCCTCCCCACTCTCCACTTGACTTAAGCTGCTCCCCTCTCCCTTCCTTTCTCTCATTCCCTCTCTCTTTTTCTCTCTCTCCAAGTGGAAGCTGGATCCCTAGGGAGGATGAGGCCCGGGCTTGAGTCCAGGCACCAACAAGAGCGCGTTCCCACCCTCCCGAAGGTCTGATGTGGAGCAGAGGAAAAGAATGGTCCTGATATCACCGGAAAAAGGGTCTTATCCCATATCGCAAGAGTGGGTTCTTGGATCTCACATGGGAAAGAATTCAGGGTGAGTTGCAGAGCATAGTGAAGTTAAGATAGGATTAGAGACTAATCAATGACAGAGTAGGGCATCCTCAGAAAGCAAGAGGAGAACGTACCCATTTCAAGTACCAGTGCTTGCTTATATAGGCAGTTAAGAGTAGTGTACTCTGGGCTCACCCCTGTAATCCCAGCATGTTGAGCGGCCAAGGCGGGCGGATCACTTGAGGCTAGGAGTTTGGGACCAGCCTGACCAACATAATGAAACCCTGTCTCTACTAAAAATACAAAAAACTAGCTGGGCATGGTGGCCTGAGCCTGTGGTCTTAGCTACCCAGGAGGCTGAGGCAGGAGGATCGCTGGAGCCCCGAAGGTCCAGGTTGCAGTGAGATGGTGCCACTGCACTCCAGCCTGGGTGACAGAGTGAGACTCTGTCTCAAAAAAAAAAAAAAAAAAAAGAAGAGTAGTGTATTCTGTTACAAAGGCTTATGATCAGCTTGTGACAGGCTACTAGTATTGCTACTTTCCTATGTTACTATTGATTTTAGCAAGAATTTATGAGTGTACTATTATCTTTAAAGCAAAACCTATTATTTTATTTTTATTTATTTATTTATTTATTTTTTGAGATGGAGTCTTGCTCCATCACCCAGGCTGGAGTGCAGTGGCGCGCTCTCGGCTCGCTGCAAGCTCCACCTCCCGGGTTCACGCCATTCTCCTGCCTCAGCCTCCCGAGAAGCTGGGACTACAGGCACCTACCACCACACCTGGCTAGTTTTTTTTGTATTTTTAGTAGAGACGGGGTTTCACCGTGTTAGCCAGGATGTTCTCGATCTCCCGACCTCACCATCTGCCTGCCTCGGCCTCCCAAAGTGCTGGAATTACAGGTGTGAGCCACCGCGTCCGGCCGAAACCTGTTCTTAAACTAAGAATTTTTTTTTGTTCTTAAGATATTGGGACATTTTCATAAGTTCTGCGTCTTTAAGTAACATCATTAACTCGTTCCCTCAACCATGAACATCTTGTAACCAAGCACGTCCACGCCCCTGGAAATGTAACCCAGCAGGTTTGGCTTTTCTGCCTTTATTCAATATGGAGTCAGTCTGGTTAGGATGCCTTTGTCCCTGAGAGTCAGTGCCCTCACAGCCCCTGCCCGGCCTCTAACTTGCTGTGTGACCTGGAGCTGATCATTCGCTCTGGGCTTCCCTTTTCTCCTCTGTTTGAGGAGGGAGCTGGTCTGGTGCCACCATTTTCCAGCTGTCTGTCCTTAGGCAAATTATTCAGCATCCCTGTACCTCAGTTTCCTCATCCATGAAATGAGGATGGCCCAGTTCCAGGCTTACGGTGAGGATTAAATGCACAGTGCCTGGTCTCAGTGGCTGCTGGGAATTACCATCATTACTGTTGTTTTGCCATTCTATTGCTATTGCCAGTGTTGCTATTAGTATTCAAAATGCAGATTGGTGGCTGGGTGCAGTGGCTCATGCCTGTAATCTCAGCACTTTGGGAGGCAGAGGTTAGAGGATCGCCCAGGGGTTCAAGACCAGCCTGGGCAACACGGTGAAACCTGATCTCTACAAAAAAAAAAATACAAAAATTAGCCAGGCATGGTGGCACGTACCTGTAGACCTTACCTGAACTCAGGGGGGTTGAGGCTGTAGTGAGCTGTGATCGTGCCACTGCACTACAGCCTGGGGGACAGAGTGAGACGCTGTTTAAAGAGGTTTATTCTGAGCCAAATGTAAGTGATCAAGACCCGTGACACAGCCCTAAGAGATCCTGAGAAAATGTGCCCAAGGTGGTTGGGTTATAGCTTGGTTTTATACATTTTATGGGTACAGAAGTTACAGGCAGACATTAATCAATCCATGTAGGGTGTACATTGGTTTTGTCGGGAAAGGCAGGAAGCTTGAAAAGTGGGCGGCTTCCAGGTTATAGGTGAATTCAAAGATTTTCTGATCAGCAATTGGTTGAAAGAGTTAAGTTATTATCTAAAGACCTGGAATCAATAAAAAGGAATGTCTGGGTTAAGATAAGGGGTTTTGGAGACCAAAGTTCTTATTATGCAAATGAAGTCTGCAGGTAGCAGCCTTCAGAGAGAATAGAGGGTAAAGGTCCCAGACTCTTTGTTAAATCTCTCCTGCATCAGGAAAAGACCTGGAAAGGGAAAAGGATTCTCTACAGGATGTAGATTTTCTCTACAAGAGACAGAGTTGTAGGGCCATTTCAAAAATATGTCAAAGAAATATATTTTGGGGTAAAATACTTCAATTTCTTTCAGGTCCTGCTATCTGTTGTGTGATGCTATATGAGGAATTTGGTATCTTATTGCTACAAAGAGCATGCTTTGTCAGTCTTAAGCTCTCTCTCTCTTTTTTTTTTTTTTTTTTTTTGAGACAGTGTCTCTCTCTGTTGCCCAGGCTGGAGTGCAGTGGCACTACCTTGGCTCACTGCAGCCTCCGCCTCCCAGGTTCCAGTGATACTCCTGCCTCAGCCTCCTGAGTAGCTGGGATTACAGGCGTGTGCCACCTCGCCTGGCTAATTTGTGTATTTTTAGTAGAGATGGGGTTTCACCATGTTGGCCAGGCTGGTCTTGAACTCCGACCTTAGGTGATCTGCCGCCGTCTTGGCCTTCCAGGCGTGAGCCACCACGACCTGCCAAGCTCTCTGTTTTCATGATAATGCTGGTCAACTGTGCCTGAATTCCAAAGGGAGGAGGGTATGAGGCATGCCTGATCCCCACTTTCCATCATGGCCTGAACTAGATTTTCAGGGTTTGTTGGGTCCCGTTGGCCGAGAGGGAGGTCCATTCAGTCAGTTAGGGGGCTTGTAATTTTATTTTTGGTTTACAGTTCTGAGGCCCCTTCTGGCTTTCAGACTGGCCTGGTTGCTTCCCATCTGGTCACCTCTCTGTCAGTGTTGGGGATCAGCATTCATCTACCCCACGGATGTTCTGCCTGGAGTGGGGGTGGGAAATGGGACTGGACCTCTCGCCATGGGATGCAGCCAGGCCCTCTCTGCTCAAGCCTTCCAGTGCTCCTCACCCAGACACCCTTCTGCAGGGACCCCAGTTTTACTCCCCTGAAAAAGAAAGTTTCCATCAGTAGGAGAAGACAGGACCTGAAATTGTCCCTGAGCCTACATGTCTACTAGGGTAGATATTTTGAAAGCCGGAGAGAGGAGGAAGCAGACAGGAAGGAGACGAAACCCCAGGACTGTCTGCTAACTCCAGGAGGACTGGTCTTCAGAACCCAGGGGCCCTCCGCATTCCTTCTGCCTCCCTATCTCATCGTAGCTCCTGCCCCATCCCCCCACCACTTCTCTCCCCTTTCCTAACTGCGTGCCCTTCTCTCCTCCAGTCCAGCCCAGCCCTACTGAAGAACAGCAACTTGAGCTGGTCTTTCTGTGCTCCGCTTGATTAAAATGTAGAAGGCACCTCTATCCAGAAGACTTGGCTTGGCCCTAATCACTCCCAGCCCCCTTGGCTGAGTGGCCACCCGCTGCTGGCTGCTGTCATCCCACATTGGAAGTGACGGAGGAGCAGAAGAACGAGTGGGTCACCAGCCGGTCTTCAGGCTCCCGGGCCAGCATTCAGACTGGGCAGGAGGTTTGTGGGTGGAAGGTGAGTTGGGCAGCCCGTCAGCCACTCCTCAGGGCTGGACGGAAATAGTGATTAGGAGCATGGGGTTTGATGTCAGATGGCCTGGGGTTGCAGCCTAACTTTGTTATTTACTATCTGTGAGTTAAGCCCTCTGGGTTTCAGTTTCTCCATTTGTAAAATGGGACTGATATTGGAAGATGTCCTACTTAGAATGGCGCCTGAGCCATCGTAAGCCCTCAGTGAATCCACTGTAAGACTTCAGCCCCCAGACTCCCACTGTTCCCTTGCCCCAGCTTCCCTGCACCTCTCCTGCCACTTCCCTCAAAGTTGCTCTCAGTCAGGCCTTGGGAGCCACAATCTGGGAACGAGGACCCTGACATCCCTCTTCACAGCTGTACCCAGCACCAAACAAGTCATCAGAGGTTCAAAACACGGAGCCCCTACCATGTGCCAGGCACGGCATGGCATGCCTGCTCTCTTTCTAATTTTGATACCGCAATGATTAATTCTGTGAAAAAAGTTCTAGAAGGATATAAGGCAAAGAATTAGGTTGTGTTCCGTCCATTCACTCACGGCTCTGCTCCCACGCATGGCTGCGCTATGCACACTGCCCTGCAGCTTCCTTTGTCTGCTGCACAATGGGCTCTGGACGGAGCCCTGTTGGCGCAATGAGTGAGCCCTACATCAAGCTTCGTCATCGCTGCATCGCTTTGCACCGTGTGGCTGGGCCGCCATCAGTACAGCCAACTGCCTCTGATGGACATCTGGGCTGCAGCCAGATTCCTCCTAACAGGGCTTCAGGGAAAGTCCTCCTCAGCGCCTCTTTGTGCGCATGGCACATTTCTCTAAGGCAGGTTTCTGGACATGAGACTGACGGGCAGCATGTGCTCCTTACATTTGGGGGTCCTGTCAATCCCCTCCTCTCCCGCAGGCTGTTCTAGACTCCAGCCCCCATGTGAGAGGATGCCTGTTGCCCTCACTCTTCCATCCTGGCAGTCCCCAGCCTCCTTGCCTCTCTTGTTTTCTTGTTCCGATCAGTTCCAGGTGGCCAGAGGGTCGAGACTCATCTCACAGCCGTGCAATAGATGCGTGTCTCTCAGTCGGTCAGCTCTGGCTGGGATCAGTGTTTATCTTCATGTCGGTGGACACCATCACAGGCACCCGCAAGAATCAGCGATCGACGGGGAAGAGGTTTGGGTGCATGGAGGAGTGCTTTGCAGTGAGGGCTTTGGAGCCTTGTGCCCTGATTCAAATCCTGGCTGTGTCCCCTGCCGGTTGTGTGACTTCGGATAAATTACTTGATGTCTCTGAGCATAAGCTGGGTCATCAGAAAAGCCAAGCTAGTAAGAGCACGTAGCTCAGAAGGCTGCTGTAAAGTTCAGATGAGTTGATATATGCTCAGTGCTGGAAAGGGTGCTGGGCACATTAGCTGTTGGTATTATTTGGGCACCTCCAGCCCAAATAATAATAAAGAGACTAGGAGGGATGTTGGGAGATATCAGATGTTGCTCATTGGAGGCTGTACTGAGTGTGCAGAGAGCTTCAGGGAACCTGGAGCTTTGAGAGGTAAAGGAACGTGCCAACTGGAACTAGAAACCCACTGCCGCCTGCAGCTCTCTGGGCTGTTTCTCCACATGCACCGTGGGGTTGTTCGGGTCCCACTGGGGAGGGTGGCTGGTATGAGGGTGGCCTGGCCTGGATGTGAAGTGGGATTTCCAAGGCTGGCACTCAGTCCAGAGCACGAGCCTTGATGAGGAACAGATGCACTCACAGTCTGGGGTCGCCGCCCTCCCCTCCTCCACAGCCCAGGGTTGGGGTGGCGATAGCTTCCAGATGGGCTTGGCTCTTAGTGGGGCCTTAAATGACTCCCTCTGAGTCCCTGAGAGGTGGGACTTAGGGCCTCTTCCTTGGTTCTCAACCCCCCTGGCCCTGGGGGATACCTGAGGTAGCTGGGTTCAGGCCAGGTGACCTTGGGAATGCCAGCCCTGCTCCGAGCCTCAGTTTCCCCATCTGAGAAACAGGCATTCTCCATCAAGCTGGCTTGGCAGAGCCACTGTGTCCTGTGATAGCTAAAGAGAAACATGAAGGAGGACCAGGAACCCCCAGGAAAGTAGGGTTTCTTTGGTTTTATTTTCTTTTTGTATTTACTTTCTGAATGTATAGTACATATCCATAGCATAAAATTTCAAAGGTACAAAAGGGGTCATAGGTAACAGTAAGCCTGTCTCCCACCCCTGCCCTCCAGACACCCAGACCCCTCTTCCCCGAGGCAAAAACCCTGTCACCAATTTCTTGAGAATCTGCCCAGAGATACGGTATGCACACATAGGAATTTTTTACCCAGTGATGACAAACTTCACACACAGTATTTCACACTGTCCTTTTGTTACTTTAACAATACCCTTTAGAGATCTTCCTATGTCACTCCATAAAGTGCTTCTTTTTTTTTTTTGGATGCTTGGCGAAGATGGTTTCAGAATATTACACAACTTTCAACTGACCAATCAGGATGGGCCCGAGCAGTGCACAACCCTACAGTAGTATATGGCTGCTAGCTGGATGCCAGCTCTGTGTCTTTATGGTTCACCATTGCATAGATGGGCCAATTGCAGGGATGGGTAATTTATAAAGGAAAGAGTTTTAATTGACTCACAGTTCCTTGTAACTGGGGAGGCCTCAGGAAACCTACAATCATGGCAGAAGGGGAAGCAGGCACATCTTACATGGCAGCAGGCGAGAGAGTGTGTGAAGAAGCAAAGGGGGAAGAGCCCCTTAACCAGTCTTCAAGAGATGAGCAGGGGCTGTTTCCAACATTTTGCTCTTTAAAGGAAGGTTGCAATACATACCCATTTTGTACATTTGTAGGAGAATATATGTAGAATAACTTTCTAGAAGTGAAATTGCATTTTACATCCATATGTTTAAAAAAATATCAATTTCCACCCCCTGCCATATACAAGAATTAACTTGAAATCTACCATAAATCTAAACGTAAAACTTAAAACTGTAAAACTTCCAGACAGCAACATGGAAGGGAAATCTTTGTGACCTTGAGTTAGGCAAAGATTTTTTTAGGTACTACACAAAAAGCATAAACCGTAAAAGAAAAAAAGATAAATTTGACTTAATCAAAATTCAAAACTTCTGCTCTTCAAATGATGCTATCAAGAAAATGAAAAGACAAGCCACAGATTAGGTGAAGATATTTGCAAAAGTCATATCTGATAAAAGACTCATATCCAGAATATATATTGAGTGCTTTCACAACTCAATAATAAGAACAAATAATCCAATAACAAATGAGAAAAAGGTTTAAAAAGACATTTCACCCAAAAACAGATATTGATGGCAAAAACACACATGAAAAGATACTCAATGTTATCAGTCATCAGGGAAACATATATTAAAACCACAACGGGCTACCACTACATACCTGTTAGAAGACTAACATGAAAAATAACTGATAATACCTGGAGAGGGTATCTAACAACTGGAACTTAGAAAAACAGTTTGGTAATTTCTTATAAAATGACCCAGCTGTCCTACTCTTAGGTACAAAGAGTAATGCAAGAGAAGTTTGTGTTTTAAAAAGAAAAACTGTAGGCAAATATTTACAGCAGCTTTTCTCATAATCACCAAAAACTGGAAATAACTGCTGTATGAGTCTAGTCTCACACAGCTATAAAGAGACTACTCGAGATGGGCTAATTTATAAAGTAAAGAGGTTTAATTGACTCATAGTTCTGCATGGCTGGGGGGGCATCAAGAAGCTTACAATCATGGCAGAAGGGGGAAGCAGGGGAAGCAGGCACGTCTTACATGGCAGCAGGTGAGAGAGCGTGTGAAGGAGGTGAAGGGGAAAGAGTCCCTTTTAAAACCATCAGATCTTGTGAGAACTCACTCACTATCTTGAGAATAGCATGGAGGAAACTGCCTCCATGATCCAATCACCTCCCGCCAGGTTCCACCCTTGACATGTGGGAATTATGGGGATTACAATTTGAGATGAGATTTGGGTGAGGCAGGAGGATCACTTGAACCCAGGAGGCAGAGGTTGCAGTGAGCTGAGATCGTGCCACTACTCTGCAGCCTGCAGACAGAGTGAGACTGTCTCAAAAGAAAAAAAAAAGAGGTAAACAGGTAAAGAAAATAATTTTAGATCATGATAAGAGTTAGGAAGAAAACATTTTCAAGGCACTAAATAGAGAATGATTTGGAGGGGGTACGATATTTAAAGAAGGTTATCAGGGAAAGCCTCTCTGAAGAGGTAACATTTGAACTGAGATGTAGAGGGAGAGAAGGAACTAGCCATGTGGAGATCTGGGGGAGGAGCATTCCAGGCAGAGGGGATAGCAAGTGCATCTGAAGAGGTAACATTTGAACTGAGATGTAGAGGGAGAGAAGGAACTAGCCATGTGGAGATCTGGGGGAGGAGCATTCCAGGCAGAGGGGATAGCAAGTGCAAGGGCCCTGAGGCCAGAATGAGTTTGGTGTTTTTAATGAAAGAAAAAGGCCAGTGGGTGGGGCAAGGAGGAGAGGGCAGGAGGTAAGGTCAGAGAAGGAATGGGGAAAGTCTAGCTTGCACCAGCCCTGACATGGGACGAGACACCCTCTATGCCCTCGGTCCTGGCGGCTCCTGCTTCCTCCTTTGTGTCCACTCAACATGATGGGTGGGCTTGGCCATCCGCAGACCCCTCTTGATGCCCCAGTACCTTCCCTGCCCCGCCCGACAGTGAGGTCCAGCCTCCTGAACAGCTCCTCTTGCTTGTCATTGGATTAATGGGCAGGAATTGCTTCTGCTTTTTCAAAGCCATTGCCCCCTACCACAGTCCCCTAAGATCATGAAGGTGCGAGCAATCATACTTGAACTGTTGGATGATGAATGCATCACTGTTGATGTGGAGGAGGCTCCCCAGTGTGAGGACTCAGAGCAGGGTCTCGGCCTCTCACAGACCTGGCTGTGTGCTTGGCTCCACCTCCTACGACCTAGGGCCCTGAGCCTCAGTTGCCTCACCTGTAAAATGCGGCAAACAAGCAAGCAACAAGATGCTCAACCTCAGTAGTAGTCGGAGAAACAAGAGCTAAATAGCAGTGAGGCACACCCTTTACCTCCATTCCCTGGATTAGCAAATAGTAGAGTCAGGAACTTCCAAGTATTCATGAGGGTGTGGGCGATGGGAATTCCATGTTCTGCTGCTGGGTGTTTGGACTGGTTTAGTACCTAAGAGCCTAAGAAAGAGTATATCTGATGACCCAGGCATTTTCCTCTTGAGTGTATACCCCAGAGAAATTCTCCTGCAGCTCCAGAAGGAGCCCATTCGAGGTCATGGGTCACTGTGATGGTGTTTGAGGATGTGAGCAGTAGGTGAGAATCCATGTAGATGCCAGGAAAAGCAAACTGCAGGGGCCTCTAAAAAATACCAGATAAGGGATGAGTGCGGTGGCTCATGCCTGAATCCCAGCACTTTGGGAGGCTGAGGCAGGTGCATCATTTGAGGTCAGGAATTCAAGACCAACCTGGCCAACACGATGAGACCCAATTTCTACTAAAAATACAAAAATTAGCCAGGTGTGGTGGTGCGCACCTATTATCCCAGCTACTGAGGAGGCTGAGGCAGGAGAATTGCTTGAATCTGGGAGACTGAGGCTGCTGTGAGCCAAGATCACACCACTGCACTCCAGCCTGGGCGACAGAGTGAGACTCCATCTCAAAAAAATAATAAAAATAAATAAATAAATAAATACAAGAATAAAATGAATAAAAAACCAGATGAAAAAGAAAACCAAAAAGTAAAAATAAAAAACACCAGGTGCATGAGAGAAAAAAAAAATAGAAGACGGGGAAATCTGTAGCACACGACCATTTCTGTGATTTTTTTTTTTTTTTTTTTTTTTTTTTTTTTTTTTTGCGACAGAGTCTCACTTTTTCGCCCAGGCTGCAGTGCAGTGGCGCAATCTCGGCTCACTGCAACCTCCGCCTCCTGGGTTCAAGCGATTCTCCTGCCTCAGCCTCCGGAGTAGTTGAGATTACAGGCATGCACCACCACGCCCAGCTAATGTTTGTATTTTTAGTAAAAACGGGGTTTCGCCATGTTGGCCAGGCTGAACTCGAACTCCCGACCTCCGGTGATCCACCCGCCTCAGCCTTTCAAAGTGCTGGGATGACAAGCGTGAGCCACCAGGCCCGGCCCATTTCTATGAATGAAAAAAACTCACAAGCTACAGAACATCCCTACACGCGTTAAAAGGATTCACACACATTCAAGCCCAGAGAACAGACTCACAGGAGCAGATGCCTGGGGGGAGGGGGAGGGGAAAGGGCAGAAGAGCATCAAGAGCGAAATCCAATTCAATCCAACTGTGCAACAGACAGTTTGCAGAATTGATGAGGATGTTTAACCCAGGTCTTGGCACCCTAAGTCCAAGTAAAAAAATAAATACGATACAGCAGGTAAAATGGGGGATGATGGAAGGGTGGCGATAGTAGTGCCTTTCTCATGGGGAACCCTCGAGGCTCCGATGAGCGAAACCATGCAGAGTGCTCAGCCAGGTGCCTGGCACGCAGCAAGGTGTCCGGTGCACAGCAGGGCCGCCCAGCTGTGAGCGGTGCGTGTATTCTCTCCAGCCTTGAATTCAGGCCTGGCTCCTTCTGCTTCCTGGTCAGTGCCGCTCTCTTGTGGCCCATACAGTGACAGGACTTAGACTGAATAGAGATCTGCCATGGTCCAAGGTATCTGATGGCGCTTCGGAGGAGGGAAGGGAGGGAGTCACATGGGGGAGATAGGATCACCAGAGGCAGATGGGATCACAGGAGGGAGATGGGGTCACAGGAGGAAGAGTGACTTCCGATTGGGGAAGAGATGGCGGATCAGATAAGGCCTCCTGGAGAAGGAATGTCTAGGCTGAAGGACAGATTCGACTGGGGGTCAAGGGGATTGATGAGCAAATGAAAGAATGAATGGAGTTAGAATATTGAGCATGAGCATTACTTAGCCCTACTGTGTGCCAAGGCTTTACATGCCTCATATCATTTCGTCCTCTACCACCCCTGGGAAGGCGACTTATTGCTTCTGTCTCCTTTGCAGCTGCAAAAAGGGAGGCTCAGTGGGTTAGCGACTCATCCAAAGTCAAGCCGCCAGCTGCACATAGAGCTCTGATACACACCCAGGTCGTGTGACTTGCTGGGGGACTCTATCTTCTCCACTTTGGGGTGGACTGAGGGACCCCAGTGAGCATAGGTACAGACCACCCCTGAGTCTGTCTGGACCATGTGTTAGCAGAAGTTTAATACTACACCTGTGCAGCAGGTGGAGATGGGTGGGACCTGTGTGGACGAGAGGAAGTGGATCTTGGGACAGCTACAGCATGCAGCGGCTCACCCCAGGGCTGGACCCTCACTCTTTGGCAGGCAGCTGGGGCACCACACCCAGGGGTTAAATGTGGAGACTCACTTCTTAAGCTAAAGGATGTGTCTGTCTTCAAGGCACTCTCCGAAAAATGCCTCATTTTGGAATTTATGTCAAAGCCATTTAAATCCTTATTAAGAGTATTTAAAGATCAGTTTTCAAAATGTCTCCTAAGTATTTCATTTTTGTTTTTCTCGACTTGGTAGTATATTCCCATGGCTAAAAATTCAAAAGGGACCAAAGATAAAGGTAAGCCTCCTCTCTTTCCATCCACTCTAACCTCTCCCCACCCAGAGCCATCACTGTTACTGGTTTCTAGAGTGTTTTGTCACCTGTAGGTTTTGTGCATTCATGAATCGTACACACGTGTATTTTCCCTCCTTCCCGTCCCCCCGCGTGGGGGCTTACTATGCGCGCTGTTCTGCAACTTGCTTTTTTCACTTGGCAATTCGTCTCAGGGACTGCCCCGTCATTGTGTCAAATCCTTCCTCGTGGTGCTTCTCGGCCATGCGGTGTTGCACTGAGTGCTGTGACATTGTATCGCAATGCCTGTCCTCTAGATATTTAGGATGTTTCCAGCATTTTGTGATCATACACAGGACTGCAGGGAACAGCTGTGTAAGCAGGTACACTTGTTCTGCAGCATGTGGGCCAGGCTAATTGTTATTTATTTATTTATTTATTTTTGAGACAGAATCTCACTCTTTCGCCTAGGCGGGAGTGCAGTGGCGCTATCTCAGCTCACTGCAAGCTCTGCCTCCCAGGTTCACGCCATTCTCCTGCGTCAGCCTTCTGAGTAGCTGGGACTACAGGTGCCCGCCACCGTGCCCGGCTAATTTTTTTGTATTTTTTAATAAAGACGGGGTTTCACCATGTTAGCCAGGATGGTCTCGATCTCCTGACCTCGTGATCCGCCTGCCTCGGCCTCCCAAAGTGCTGGGATTACAGGCGTGAGCCACTGCGCCTGGCCCTGGGCCAGGCTAATTGGAGGATGAATCCCTAGAGGTGGATTGCTGGGTCAGGGGACATGTGCGCTGTGATTTGAATAGATGTCAACTCACCTTCTGTAGAGGCTGGGTCAAGTCACCCTCTCCTGAGGAAGGTAGGGGAGGGTGGCGGCTTACCCCCACCCAGCCCAGGCCCTGTGGTTTCATTTTCTTTTTTTTTCTTTTTTATGGCTCTTAGCCAATCAGATAGGTGGAAAATGGTAGCTCTGTGTGGCTTTATTGTCATCTAATTTGAGTAAGGGTGTTTGGAGTTCCTTTTCTGGATGAGGCATTTTTGCCACACGGGGACAGCGCTGAGCCGACGACACGGCAGTGCCGCTCTGGACACGCTGATTCTCCCTGAGGCTCATCTTCTCAGGCTGAGTGGGACTGTGCCTGTGGATGCCCGCTCATGGAGTAGTCGCCTGGTGGAGGGCAAGGGTTTTGAGTTCCCATTCCACTACTTACTTTCTGAGCCTCGGATTCCCCCTCTGTAAAAAGTGGAAAGAATAATAGAACCCACTTCAGATGGCTCTGAGGAGGATGAATTTAAGTTTTTAATGTGAAATGCTTGGCACAGTTCCTGGCTCAGAGTTAGTGCTTAGGAAATGTTTGTTGAATGAAGAAATGAAAGAGATATAATCATCTTAAAAATTGTATTGAGTACTTATTATGAAGCCTTTCTCATGTATTCACGTATTTTAACTTCACAGTGACACCAAGAGGGGTACTTTTATTATCCCCCTTTAAAGACAAGAAAACTGGGCCGGGTGCGGTGGCTCACGCCTGTAATCCCAGCACTTTGGGAGGCCAAGGCAGGCGATCACGAGGTCAGATTGAGACCAGTCTGGCTAACACGGTGAAACCCCGTCTCTACCAAAAAATAGAAAAAATTAGCCGGGCGTGGTGGTGGGCACCTGTAGTCCCAGCTACTCGGGAGGCTGAGGCAGGAGAATGGCATGAACCCGGGAGGCGGAGCTTGCAGTGAGCCGAGATCGCGCCACTGCACTCCAGCCTGGGCGACAGAGCGAGATTCCGTCTCAAAAAAAAAAAAAAAAAAAAAAAGAAGATGAGAAAACTGAGGCACAGGGAGAGATACAGGATCTTGCCTAAAGGCTCATAGCTGGCGTCACTGGCGGCGACGGGATTCGTGATCTTCTGTCTGCTCTTACCCACCTCACTTCCCTGCCTCCCACTCTAGGAGAGAGGTGCCACCATAAACCCCATTCCAGCTGTCCATTGCATGAAACAACCTCCTCAACCTCAGAGGCATAAACAAACAACCATTTTATCATGTTCCTGGGTTCTGTGGATCAGGAGTTCAGGCAGGATAAGGTGGACAGCTTCTCTCTGCTGGGCCTTCGATGGGAGGACTCTGTGGCTGGGAGGGTTCTGCAGTGGGGGGTAAGGAGGGGCAGCGGGTAAAACAGCAAGGACTAGAAGACCCACTTGCGAGAAGGCTTCTTCAGCTACAAGTCTGGCTGGAGGATCCATTCCACCTTGTGGATGGTAGGTTGGCTATGGCTATGGGTGAGGGTGGGAGTCATGGGGGGCTGAGTGGGAGCCATCAGACCCCAGGGCTGAGTCCACATGTTCCAGGATCTGACAGCTTAGGAGGCTTAGCAATTCCAGGGCTGGCGCCCCCATGAATAGCTTCTCCAGGATTTTGCAAGTGCTGTTTCCTCCCCCTCCCCACCCATCTCATTAACACCTCGCACTCTTTAATTCTCAGCTTGGCTATCTGGTCCTGGAGGAGGAGCTCCCTAACCCCTGTATGCCTTAGACAGGATATGCTAGATCCTGTCCTCATGGAAGGTCTTATCACATTGTTGGAATTGACTGTCTGCAGACTGAACGCTTGGAGGACAAGGCAGGGTCTTTATCACCAGCACCCAGGACAGTACCAGGCACACAGTAGGCACTTTATGCATATTCACGGAATGAATGAATGGGTGAGACTGATGGATTTTGAATGACTTGAACTTGAGCCTCAGTTTTTCCTCCTAGAAGTTAGCTGGCAACGTAGCTGTGAAGGTGGCAGGAGATAGGTGGGAAATGCGAGGTTAGTAAGAGGAATTGGTAGAAAAATGGTAGTTATGATTTATGCTGAAGAGAGAAAAGCAAAGGAAATTAGATATTGCACCTGAAATGCTTAGCTATGTTTGGTGCAGAATAGGTGCTCCATAAATATAAGATGACGTCATCATCCTCATCCTCATCATTACTATTATTTGTATTATAAGAATGCACATTTCCTGAGTTAGAAGGTCCACATACGATGGCTTGAAATTTTCCTCTGGGCTGGGTGCGGTCGCTCACACCTGTCATCCCAGTACTTTGGGAGACTGAGGCAGGAGGATCGCTTGAGCCCAGGAGTTCAAGACCAGTCTGGGCAACATAGCAAGACTCTTTCTCTACAGATAATTTTAAACATAGCTGGGTATTGTGGTGTGCATCTGTAGTCCCAGTTACTTGGGAGGCTGAGGTGGGAGGATCAACTGATCCCTGCAGGTCGAGGCTGCAGTGAGCCGGGATCATGTCACCGACCTCCAGTCTGGGCGATAGAGCTATTACCCATCTTAAAAAACAAACAAACAAAGACAGAAAAAAGAAATTTTCTTCCAAGCGAAAATGGAGAGGTGTAATCCCCATAGGTCACCTGGGCCAGATGTCTGGGCAGGAGGTCATGCTCTGAGTCAGATTTCCCTTCTGTGCAAGGAAGGACCTGGGACAGGGACCTCTGAGTCTGACACTCTCTGCACAGCTGAGAAGGCCATTCAGCTGAAGTCCCCATTGCAACTGTTGTCCTTCAGCCTGAGGCAGTCAGTCCTTCGGTCTGAGGCAGCCTGTCCCTTGCCCTCGGCTACCCTCCACCCTGCTCCAGTCCTGCTAGGAGAGAACCGCAACACGACCCCGTTTCAGAAATGCGCTCCTTGACAAGCCTGGCTGCGACCTGTTCCTGGTTGACTGCCGTCATCCGGTGGCAGCATGTGGGAATGACATGCAGGGCTGTGGTGAGGATGAGGATGGAGTGAGCGGGTGGGGGGAACTGCAGAGAGGGCCCTAGTGTGGCCCAGTTGGAAGCGGTGACAGGAAGAACCCACCAGGGATTCCTCAGCTCTGGCCAAGGGGTTGTTCTCTCCCTCTGGCATAGCATCCAGAAGGCCAATAGCAGCGGAACCTCCCCCTGGGCTCTGCCCAGACTGCCTCTCTTTGGCTGTGTGACCTCACCCTGTTTCTGAGCTTCTCTGTGAACTTCTCCAAGCTTGGCTTGTAAGAAGGGAGTGGGCGATGCCCACCTGACAGCAGAGTCTCCTTCCCAGAGAGGCCCCTCAATCCTCCAGAGAATGTGGGAGAGGCTGGGATTTGAAAGGATTGGAGCTGGGGGCAGGGAACGTCTGAGATGGAAAGGTTATAGGAGGGGCTTAGGCCCTGAAGAAATTTCATCCTGTAATTTGAAAATATTAAAAAACCACCACAGCCCCCAGCTGAGGACAGAGGACCAGGCCCCCCAAGAAGAAAGAACATGGCCAGGGAATTGCAGTACTGGAAACTTCTACCCTTATGTTGGTCTTTTAGAATTGTGAAAATTAGAACGTTCAGCATCCTAAAACTGGAATCTTAACAGAAAACACTATATAGTGTATGTATGTGTGTGTGTGTGTGTGTGTGTATATATATATATATTTATATATATATTTATTTATATAGGGGCTGGGTACAGTGGCTCATGCCTGTAATCCCAGCACTTTGGGAGGCTGAGGTGGGAGGATCATTTGAGGCCAGGAGTTCAAAACTAGCCTGGGTAACATATTGAGACCCCCATCTCTACAAAAAATAAAAAATTAGCTGGGTGTGGTGGTGTACACCTGTAGTCCCAGCTACTTGGGAGGCTGAGGCAAGAGGATTGCTTGAGGCCAGGAGTTTGAGGCTGCAGTGAGTTGTGATCGTACCACTGCACTCCAACCTGGGTGACAGATCAAGACCCTGCCAAAAAAAAAAAAAAATTAAAAAGATACACACACATACACACACACATACAGACTAAACTCTGTAGAATCAGATCATTGAGCCTTGAGGTCAGAATCAGAATTGCAGCTGCAAATCTAGACTCAGCCCTCTGAGCTGGAAGTCATCTGAGAGCCACCTCTCCCCTCAGCTTGTCCTGGAAAGAATGTTTGCTCTCACTGCCTGCTCCTAAACTTGTTTGCAATGAATAGATCTGGGGGAGGGCCCCAAAACCTGAATTTCTAAAAGGCTCCCCAGGGGATTCTGTTGTTGGGTCTTCCAGATTTCGGCAATAGATTTAATTTAGCCAGGCTTCCTCTTCATCACATTCATCACATGGGAAAACTGAGGCCCCGGAAGGGGAAGTGACTTGACCTGGACCCCATCAGATAGCTGGTGACAGGCTGGAGCTCCCACCTGTGCCTCCCAATGCCAAGGCCACTCTCACCAGCAGCCCAGGGTGTTTAGATGGCCCCGTGGGACTGTCAACCTCCTAGGTACCCCTGGTCCCTGAGACATCTGGTTCGTGAAACTGCGAGGTTCTGGGGATCGAGGTGTCACCCTCTTCTGCCTCTGGCTGAGTCTGCTTCTTGAGAGTAGCCTGGAGGGGCTGAGGGCCCCTCCTCTTTTATCAGCTCCCCCCAAGCTGAAACCCCACCCCAATCCCCAATACACTCTGACCCCTCTCAGCCCCAAGCATTCCTGTGAAAACCACTCCACATGTTTTAAATTCTGCTACTCCAAACTCAGCAGTATCATGGTTTTGCAACACCCTCTTGATGCTCAAGAAGCATTTACAAGTTTCTTTTCCCTTTATTAAGAAAGTTTTAAAAAAAAGTTAGGGTCTTGAAACAATAACAACGGAGCATTTCAGAGGCACAAACGTTTGCAGAAGAGAAGCTGGTGGCCTGGCCAGGCGGAGGAGGGGGCTCTAGCTGTTCTCGGGGAGGTGAGAGCAGGGAAGTCAGAGAGAGGGTGGGCCTGCTGGGAGGGGGGGGTTCAGGCCAGGGCTCCCCAGCTGCCAGGTGGAGGGCAGGTCTGAGGGTGGGTGCTCTCTTGGGGTCGGGAATGTAATATTTCATCACCTAGAGCCTCTCCCCCAGCCTGCTGACCATCTTCCTTCCCCAGGCCACCCCTGGGCCCCTTGGAGCTCCGACTCTTGCTTCTCCTGCCCATTCCTGTCCCAGTCACGGAGCCCTACGTGTTCAGGCCAACCAGTCACGGCAAATACAAATCCCGTTTCTGAGGATTCCGGGGAGCAGAGCAGGAAGGGGGTGTTATGATGGCAGAAGGATAGGCAGTGAGGACAGACTTGCTTCCAAGCTGGGTCTGACCTGGAGACTCCTCCCAGCGTCGTTCCTGCCTAGGGCGAGGGGCGTCACAGCGAAGCACAGATGCTCAAGTCACTGGTGGTGGGTGTGGGCGAGTGTGGTGGTGGGTGTGGGGGAGTGTGGTGGTGGGTGTGGGGCAGTGTGGTGGTGGGTGTGGGCGAGTGCGGTGATGGGTGTGGGCAAGTGTGGGGGTGGGTGTCAGCGTGTGGGGGTGGGTGTCAGCGAGTGTGGTGGTGGGTGTGGACGAGTGCACGGATCTTCCCTTGCTCCCCACCCACAATTCCCTACATTTCCCCCCTCAAGTGACCCCCAAATTCTCCTCTCCACCGTGAATGTGCTGAGCAGAGCCATCAGGCAGAAGCAGAGCCTGAAGGCTTCCTGTGTGACCCTGGGCAAGCCCCTTCCTTCTCAGACCTGTTTCCCCACATGGGCAGGAAGCGCTGAGGTGGGGAACAGAGCTGCTGGATAATCTCAGCTTTCCTTTCCGTTTCAGTGGCCTCTTCTGGGCTGGGCAGGTGGATCCCCCAGCAGTGACAGCTCACCTGATCCGGCTTGGGAAAAAGGGGCATGGAACCCATGAGAGGGAGGCCTGTGGGGGAGTGCCGATGAGGGTGGCAGGCAGCTTGCAGAGGATGCCCTCCAGGGCTGGCTGCCCACCCAGAGGCCAGGTTGTGACCCTCCACGGCCAGCTGGGGGAGGTGTCCAAGCCAGGCCTCTGGAAGCCCTGGAGCCTTGTCCAGCCAGCTCCTCGGGGTGGCTGGTGGCTGAAGGCTGTGGAAATGGCCTCTGGGGACTGTCCAGAGAACCAGGTGCTCACAGCTCAGGGTCCTGGAGCCTCCCCCAGAGCAGAAGCAGGGCCTTCAGGATTCACCTGTGCTGTGTCCCAGCTTTGCCCTCTGGAAACCCTTTCTCTGCAAAGATGGGGTCAGGGAAAGGCCTGGGAAAAGATGTTTGCTTTCTTTAAGTTGTAGATAGAGAAAGCTGCAGGGGAGGGCACAGGCTCATGGTCCCTCTTAAAGTGTGTGTGAGAGGGAGACAAGAGGAGGGAGAGAGAGAAGGATGCGGTGAAGGACAGGAAGAAACACAGGAAGAAAGAAAAGGAAAGATAAAAGATAAGTGAGAAAGAAGAGGAAGGAAGGGAAGGAGGGAGGGAGAAAGGAGAGGAGAATGGAGGTGGAAGAAATAAAGGAAATAAAAAAGAAAAAGAAAGGGAAGGTAGACTGACAGAAAAATGATAGAAGGGTGGAAAGAAAGAGAGGACAAATGGAGAAGACAGAGGAGAAAGAGTAAGAGGAGAGGAGGAGAAGGAGCAGGAGGAGGTGTGCAGGGGCCGAGGACTAGGACCAGAGAGTCGGGAGAGCCGGCGGTCAGGGCTGCAGGCCGGGCTGGCGCGGCCTCACGTCCAGCCTGCGGTCCAGCTTCCTGTCCTTGCGTGGGCGCCGGTCCTTCCTGCCCTTCTTCTGGCCGGGGCTCCTCTCTGCAATGAGAGGACAGAGCCCGGTGACCAAGGCTGCAGGGCCAGTTAGGTCCTGGGAGCCTCCTCAGTCCTGAAAGACAAGGGTGCCCCACCCACTCCCCAACAACGGGGCTCAGAACATTTGGGCACTGACCTTGCAGTCCCTCCTGTTGAGAGTTTGGACCGTGGGCTAAGGTACCCCAAACTGAACCTTTCTCTCTAGGTCTTCAGGGAGTGGCGAGGGCCACTAACTTGTTCAGGGCCTTCTTGTGCTGGACATCTGGCTCGGCCAGGCCTGCAGGTTCACCTGGGGCCCCCCAATCAGCATGTCGGGTGGCCTCATGGGAGTCCCCATGGCTTTCCCCGGCACACTCCTTCCATAGCTGAGCAGGCTCTGTGCTGGACGCTGGACACCTTTCATCTGTGTCCCTGCACCAACTTCTGCATAACACTGTGGCAACAATACTTCAGCATTTAGCAAGCGCTCACTGTATGCAGGCCACAGCCCCAAGTGCTTTATGTATACGAAACTCACAACAGCCGAGAGAGGCAGGTAGGGTCTGAGCCACACCCAGTCCCGTCTTCTCCAATTGTCCTCTCTTTCTCTCCACCCTTCTATCATTTTTCTGTGCCAGGCTACCTTTCCTTTCTTTTTCTTCTTTATTTCCTTTATTCCTTCCACCTCCACTCTGGCTGTGCCCGCTGCCCAGGGAGTTCTTCTGAGCAGTTGCCTGTCATTGTTATGGACAGGTGAGAAGACCACAGCATGGTTGGGAGCAAGGCCAGCCCTAAGTTTCTGCTTTACAAAGTGTCTCCACACCCAGGACATTCTCCTACATTGCTTGGGCCCCATTCAGTTCCCCGCAAGGAGCTGTGTGTCCATTTGAACACGATGAACCTGAGGCTCCATGAGTCACTTTCTGAAGGTGCGCAGCGAGGCTGTTAGAGACCCTCTGAGCCTAGTGGCAAGGGGAGGGCAGTTTTATTCCTTGGGTGTCAACTATGTGCCCGTCTCCCCAAGAGTCAGGGCTGTGGCTCCAGTCCTGGCTCCTTCCTCTGCAGAGCAGAGTCAAGGAGCTAAGACCAGGCTACCCACCTCTGGGGCTCCCCACGCCCACTCTGAGCTCTTGGGGAGCACTGAGGCCAACTCCCACTCTGAGCTGCAGAGCTGACTGTGCAGGCCTCAGGTAGGACAGCATCTGGAGATGGGGTGTGGGTGCTGCCTGAGTGGCCCTGCCGGCTCTGATGTGGGGGTGTGGGGGCCAGTGGCTTTGTGTCCCTACCCCTTCCCTAGGCCTGCCTGCCAGCTGCTCATGTACCCATCCAGTCACCCACCCATCCCTCCACCTATTTACCCACCTACACACTCACCCACCTATTCACCCATCTACTCACCCACCTCCATACCCAATGACCCATCCATCCACCTAGGCACCCACCCATCACCTATCCATCCACCTGTTCACCTATCTACCTACCTACCCACCCACCTAATCATCCACCTACCTACTCATCCACCCACCTACCCTCCCATCTACCCTCCTATCCACCCATCTACCTACCCACTCACCCACCTGTGCATTCAGCCATCCATCCACTCATCCAACAAATATTAACTGGATACCGACTATGTGCCAGACTGTGTTAGAGGCACTAGAGAGACAGCTGTGAACAAGGCAGATAAAGCCCTTGCCGTCACTGGAGATCACACTCCAGTAAGGAAAACAGACGCTGAACAAGCAAACACGAGAATGAGAAGGCTCATTTCAGAAGGGTGCAAGTGCTACCATGTGATATGATGGAAAATGACTCCGGGGAGGGGGACTCCTGGGAAGCCTCTCTGAGGAGGAGCCACTGCAGCCAAGACCTGGGTGATGCAGGGAGCTACAGCGGGGTTGTTGCGAGGATTAGAGTCATGTTTCACAGCACTAAGCACAGCCAGCACATGGTAGATGCTTTATGAATGTTTGCAGTTATTGTGATTATTATTATCCAGGGGAAAAGCTTTCCCCTCATGATTCCCCAACAGCCATTCACCCCCAGCTCTTGGAGCCATGAGAGGTGCCATGTGGTAATGAGTGCAGAAGAACTGTCTGCCTCCTGTGTGAGTCCTGCTCTGGCTCTGGGGTCTCTTAGGTTCTCTGGTTCCACCTCAACCTCACTCTGTCCTCACCTGCCCAACATGACTCCCAAAGGCTCCTATCTCTGCTAGCTGCACTCCCAACCCAAATAGCACAAGTCCTTCTGAAAGAGGAGTGTCCCTGAGTTCAAATCCTGGCTCCACTATGTCCCAGCTGGGTGCCCCGGGTGGCCTGGTTCCAGGTCCCTCATCCTTCATCATGACTTTAGATTCCTCTTTGCATGACGAGTTACGTTTGAATTCTAGGTCTACAGCTCCCTGGCTTTGTGACCCTTAGGTGAGTGACTCAACCTTTCTGGGCCTCAGTCCCCTCATCTGTAAAATGGGGATAGTGCTAATAACACCTACCGCATAGCATCACTGCGAAGATTACATGAGTTAACGATTATAGAGAATTCGGCACAGTGCCCAGTCAACACTGCCAATACTACTCACCGTTCACATCTTACCAAGCACACCCTGTGGCCTCTCTTCTATGTAAATCAGTGGTCCTTCATAGCCCCCAGAAACATTTTGGAAATACGTGTAGTGGTCTTGAATGGCACAGTGAAGGGGGTTCCTGTGGCATTCAGTGGACGGCAATCGGGATCCAGCGTGGGACAGTCCCCCGCAAAGACGAGCTGTCCCCCTGTTCCATCCAGTTCTCTCACATCGTGCCCCACCCTCACGTAGCTGAAAAGTCTGCTTGCTGGGAGCTGAATTCTGTTTGACTCATGAATACCAATTGGTTTCGAACACTTCCATTCACTGAAGATTCTAGGGCACTGTGAGTGTGGTGTCAATCAGAGATCAATTGGGTTGGACCTTACTAATCATTGGTCACTGTTGGGAAATCGCATCTCTGATGGCGATGTGGCCACGTACTTGGGGCGCTGACCACGGCCGCGGTCCTCACTGGGATTGTACTTCCCTAAGTGTCTGTTGGTATGTTGGGCCAAGCGCTTCCATCAAGAAATTTCTTTTCTTTCTCCTCTATATTACAGTTAGGACACTATACTGATAAAAAAAAATTACCTTTGCAAGTAGGCCACATTCTCCATGAACTTCATTAAGAATGATAAAGAGGGTATTCCCAAATCCTTCTTATTAAAAGGGGGGTGTTCAGTTTGAGAGGGTTGGGAACTCCTGGCCAGCTCAATTTTCCTAATGTATTTGGGACTGAACCCAGCAAGGAAGGCCCTCCTTTGAAAGGACACCAGGGAAGGTGATGTGTACTCCACATGATAGTATGGCTAATGGTGGCCTTTCAGGCAGTCTCATAGATACTATTTGTGGGGCAGTGATCTGAGTCCGCCCTGTCCCTGTGGGCCTTTCCCACCGCAGCCTCGTGTGCCTGTCCTGGGGCTCACCTCCTGGGCAGGGCCTCTGGATGGGACATTTCCTTGACTCAGAAAGCACCTGGCAGGTGGCTGCCTCCTCATGCCCAGCCCGGCCAGCCTCTCGTACCCGGCTCTCCAGGCCCCAAGCCGAGCCGCAGGTCTTTCCATTGTGTGTGCAGGGGCTCCAGCCGCCCCAGGGACCCAGTTCACACTCCCCTGTGGGGTGAAAGGAGAGACAGACAGACAGACAGACAGGGTCAGCCGGCAGTGAGGGTCCTTCAGATCCAAGGGCAGGGTTTGAGGGGTTCAGTCCTCTGAAGACTGAAGACACCACTTCCACCTGCTAGGAGCAGAGTTATTTATAAGAGCCTGGAATGAGAGCGAAACGAATGCATGCACAGACTAATATGGGCCTGAAGCCAGAGCGGCCGACTGTCTAGCTTTAAAGGAAAGGCTTCCTGGAGGAGGTGATGTATGAGTTAAAGGGAGAGAGGGGAGCTCGTCAGGTGAGAAGAAGGAAGCCCATTCCAGGCAGGTGTGCAAAGCCTTGGGAGCCCGGCCCACCATGTTTGGGAGATGGGGCAGCCTGAGTTGGGAGTCAAGTCTCAGGAAGGCGGGGACAGGAGAGGAGGCTGGAAGGTTGCCTGGGAAGCCCTCAGGACCAGGACACAGGTTTTAAACTTGATCATGTGTCTTTGATCAACTTTGGAAGGAAGAAAAAGGAGGCCATGGACATAAAAGTTCTTCATAGGGGGTAATAAAAATACATATATACATGTATATATATATATACACACACACACACATATATATATACACATATATATACACACACACACATATATATACACATATATATACACACACACACACATATATATATACACATATATACACACATACACACACACACACACACACACACACATATATATATATATATACTTTGATTATTTTAAAAGTCCATGAGAAGTAGGCACAGAATATGGGTAGCTATGAATACTCCTATTTTGTAGATTTGGACACTGAGACCTAGAGCAGAGGTTTGCTAAGGGAACGCAGCAAGAGGCTCACACAGCAGACACAGCAAGCTCAAGACACAGTGGGACCCAGACCTTGCTAGATACACACATTTGACAAGTAAAGACTGAGCACCCAGTGTATGCCAGGTGCTATTCTGGGTGCTGAGGGAGCAGCAGCAGACAAGACAGCCCAGGGTCTGCAGGCCTCCTGGAATTCACCATCTGGACACCGCCGTGATGAGGGAAGTGCAGGCACCGTGGGAGCCCAGAAGCAGCATGGGTTGGGTTGTAGGGGAGGAAACCCCTGGACTGGGTCTTGAAGTGGGGGTGGGATGGCGGGGAAGGGGAGCCTAGCCAGGCTCAGGGAGGGACGGGAGGTGCTCCAAGTGAGGGCATAACCCCAGCAGAGTCCCCAGGATGATTTGGCCTGGAACTGGGCAAGCCGGAGAATAAGCTCAAACTGAGGAGGAAAAAAATGATGGGGGTGGAAAGGCTGGCAGATGGGACAGATTGCCCAGGGCCTGGGTGGGCTCCGCCCAAGGGCAGTGGGAGCCACTGAAGGGTCCTGGGAGGAAAAGAAATTGAGCAGACTATCATTGTGAAATACTCCCTCTGCTGTTGAGTGGAGACTGGGCTGGAGGGACTGAGAACCAAGGCGGGAGACGGGCAGGAGCTGTGGCCAGAACCCTGGCGATAGGCAGGGGGTGGCAAGAGGGTGGGAAGAGGGCGGCACAGAGGACAGAAACAAATGGGTGGGGAGAAAGGGATGAGCTGAATGGTGTGGGTTTGGGAGCTTCGTGCTGCTTCATTTTCACCCCAAAGTTCTTCCTACCACCCAAAATATTATGCATTTGTTCTCAGGTGTCGCTTCTGTCTCTCCACTGAAATGTCATGTCCTTGAGTGCAGAGGCTTTGTCTGTTTTGTTCTGTAATGTGTCTCCAGCACCTAGGAAAGTGCCTGGCCATAGCAGATGCTCTAGTAGATATTTTCAGAGTGAATAAATGAACAGATTGGATTGAATATAGGGTGAGGGAGAGAGAAGAGTCAACAGCGATGTCTGCATCTCGCGCATGCCACCCAGGGATCAGGGAGCTGGTTATTGAAACCCAGAGGAAACCCAGAGGGAGCGTTAGGTGGGGGATGGTGGCAGTGGGAGTGGAAAGAAGGCACCCAGAGGGCAGTGGAGGTGAGGATCAGCTGCTCAGGGAGGCTGGAGACACGGAGTCAGGGGCCATCAGCAGCTGGAATGACCATGAATGTGAGCCCGGAGGGAATGCGTGGGCAGAGAGGCACAGTGTAGATGAGAATGCCAAGGAGCAGCCTAGTGCAGGAACGGGAGGGCTCACAGGCAGGAGTGTGACAAGGAGCTGTTAGGAAATAATCAGAGCAGTAATAACACTGATACTGACACGTACTGAGCATCTACTGTGTGCTGGCTGCTGTACTGAGCACTTTAAATTGTACTAATTCACTTTATCCTCATAACAATTCCTCCCCATGAGGTAGGCTCTATGTTCTATTGTCTTTTTTTTTTTCTAACGTTTGGAGAAACCGAAGGACAGAGAGCTGAGGTGGTTTGCTTAAGATCACTAAAGGGTAAGGTTTAGAGCTAGGATTGGACCCCAGGCCTGTCCTATTCCAAAATCAGTGCTCAGCCAGGTGTGGTGGCTCATACCTATACTCCCAATGCTTTGGGAGGCTGAGGTGGGAAGACCGCTTGAGCCCAGGGGCAGCCTGGGCAACATAGCAAGAGCCTGTCTTTACAAAAACATAAACGCATAGCCAGCTGTTGTGGTACATGCCTGTGGTCCCAGTTACTCGGGAGGCTGAGGCGGGAGGATTCTCTGAGCCTAGGAGTTTGAGGCTGCAGTGAGCTATGATCATGCCACTGCACTCCAGCTGGGCAACAGAGTGAGACCCTATCTCAAACAAAACAAGCAAACAAGCAAACAAACAAACAAATAAACATCAGCGCTCTTCTTCTGCACTCTGCTGATTCCCTTGGCATTAATAACAATGCCAGTGTTGGTTGTAGTAGTAATCATAGTAATGGCGGTTATGTTGGCTCTAGTGTTTTGCAGTTACTATGTGGAGGTACCCAGTGTACCTGACATGGTGGTGCTGGGCCTTCCCTCACCATATGGCATTCTACTGTAATTTCTTCCAGGGCCCCTAACATCTCTCACCAAGCCCCCGCTCCAGGGAGAGGGGAGGGGCAGGGGCAGGGCGGGGAGGTCCCCACTCACCCTGGCACTCCCGTGTGTTCTGGTGGGCCAAAGTGCCCGGCGGGCAGGTGGGCAGACACTTCCCCTTGTACAAGTAAAACTGCCTCTTGCACCGGATGCAGAAGTCCTGGCTGAAGCAGCTCTCACAAGTGGCCCCACATTCTGTAATAGAGCCAGGGACACCCCAGGTGAGGGAGACTGCCAAGGATGGGGCCCACTGGGTCTGCCCGAGGTGGAAGGCCCTCTGGGTAGCTCCAGGCTTGGTAGCATTTGGGTCAGGACTCAGTGTCTCCTTTGAAGCCCAGACTTGGCCAAGGTCAAACTGGGCTGCATGTGAAGAGAACACTCCCTTTCTCATTTGAGGGGAGGCTCAGAGAGAGCGAGTGACTTGCTTGAAGTCACCCGCAAACCAGGGCTGGAGTGAGGACTCCCTGCTTCTTTTTCACCTCAGAAATAGTGATAATTTGCCCAAAGTTACAGCAAAAATTAGAGCTTGGAATTAGGACTCCTTTTCCTATTTGAGCTAAGACCAGAGAAGGTGAGTTACATGCCTAAGGCCACACCACAAACTAGGGTAGAAGTGAAAGTTGCCTGTTCTATTAGTGCTAATTAAGGCTGAGAGCGGACTGACTTGCCTCGGGCTGCGGAGTCAGCCTGGACACAGGCAGGTATCTCAGAGTCTGGGCTTAGACATGCACCTACTTCCCCTCTGTCTGTGCTGGGGTGAAAGGGTGGGATCTAAGCCCATGGTGTCTAGGAGCCCAGCACTAGCATAGAACAAGGGAGAAGCCACGTACTTTTGCACCTGTTGACCTCCTGGCCGCGGATGCCGAAGTACCCAGGGGGACAGTCGTGCAGGCACTTGCCGTACTGGCGGATGCCTTCCCGGCGGATGAACAGGAAGAGCCTCTGCTGGCAGGTGGAACAGCCGTTCTCCTCTGAGCAGATGATACAGCCTGTGCAGTTGCCCCCCAGGCCAGTGCCCACTGCCCACAAGACCAGGGCAGAAGGAGGGGGAAAGGGAGAGAGAGATGGTCAAACCATATATGCGAGCAGCTGAGATGGTCTCATTGGGATAGTAACTGGGCACATGGCCACCCAAACAAAAGACTACATTTCCCACCTTCCCTTACAACTAGATATGGTCATGTGACCAACATCTGGCCAATCAGATGTAAGGTAAAGCAGCATGTGACACTTCAAGAAAGCTGCCTTAAAGGGCAGGGGTGTGCCCCTTGTCGTCCCCTCATCCTTTCTGTTGGGTGGAATGTGAACGATGGCTGGAGCACAAGCAGCCATTTCAGATCATGAGGTGGAAACTATGTCCCGTGAGGCGGTGGAAAAATCAGATAAAAAGCACCTGGGTGCCTGAGGAAGGCAGAACTGCTGTACCAGCTCTAGCCTGCCTGTGTAGACTGTTACATGAGAGAGAAATCAACATCTATCTTGCTTAAATCACTGTTATTTGAAGTTTTCCATCACTCACAAGCAAACTTAATCTTTACCAAAGTAATGTGAATTTTTGAGTGTGTGTGGGTGCACATGATGAGTGGGGTGGGGTGAGACCCTCACCCTCCTGCTGGGTTCCTGAACAATACTCAGCAATACTCCATTTCTCACTGTCACCATCAGCAAGGGCTCCCACCATCATCAGGAATAGCAATGGGAGAAATTTTTTTAAGGAGAAAATTTTTTGTTACCCCAGAATTGGCACCCAGGAGCCAAAGCTGGGGAAAAAAGAGGTGGAAAATGCTCTAGAATCTTAAGTGAGCCTCTCCCAGGCTCATAAGGAGTCTCTGTTACCCTGACCATCACCCCAGGACCCTGATTAAGCTGAACACTTGCAGGGAGGGACTCATGGGAGTTAGGGATTGTCAGCCTGGCCAGGCACAGTGGCTCATGCCTGTCATCCCAGCATTTTGGGAGGCCAAGATGGGAGAATTGCTTGAGTCCAGGAGTTTGAGACCAGCCTGGACAATATGGCGAGGCCCTGTCTCTACAAAAAATACAAAAATTAGCCGGGTATGGTGGCACACACCTGTAGTCCCAGCTACTTGGGAGGCTAAGGTGGGAGGATCGCCTGAGCGGGGAAGGCTGCAGTGAGCTGTGTTTGTGCCACTGTACTCCAGTCGGAGAGACAGAGTGAAGCCATGTTTCCAATAAAGAAGAAAATAAAAAGAAGTGGACAGCCTAGGGAAGTGAGTTGTGGTGCTGTGACTTTTCCTCTGTTCCCAACCCTGCCAACGAAGTGAGGAGATGCCAGAGAAACTCACAAAGACAGGGGGTGCCTGCAAGAAGGTGCCAGCATCTCATGCCCTGCTTGGACATAAACTCATGTCCATAGCCCTGCGAATCTGCCCCCTTCCCATTCCTCTTTGAACAGAGAAAGGAGACCAGGAGACAGAAGGGCAGAGCTGAGGGGAAGAGTGTGATAGAAGAGCCTGCACATCCTTCCCGGCACGTGTGAGGGAGTTCTCAGTGGTAAGGGGCACCTTGGGAGCAGCCAGGCTTAGGTGGTATTCCTGCTGCCTGGCACAAGAAGGCTGGTTGCTGGGAGGTGCCCCAGCAGTAAGAGGCAGCAGGGGAGACCACTGGGAGTAGGAGGTGGGGGAGAGTCAGAAAATGACCAGGTGTCACTAAGTGACAGGAAAGGATAGGGCAGCTTTTGAGAGGCAGCAATTGGGGAAACAGTAAATGGTTTCATGTTTATATGTCATTAGGGTCAGACTGGTTAATAATCCGGTTATACACCTTGATTCACCTGAGCCCCAAGACCACCCGGCAGGAAACATTCTTGGCTCTCCAGCTCTCAGATGCTCCCCTCTTCCTATTGGTGCCCCATCTCCCTTTTAGAGGAATTCCCCATTGTGCAAGGTCCTGATGAAACACATCCTGGCACCTTCCCCCTGGAACAGAAACCAAAAGAGTTCTGGCCCTCCTTTAAGTTGGCAGCAGGTGAGAGCTAACGAAAGCCCGGTCAGATACACATTCTGGTGACTCCAGTCCTGGGAGTGGGACACAAGAGTGAGGGTCACACAGAAATGGGGTTCATGGTGGAGGCAGGGCAGGCTCTCTGCCCAGCCCTGGCTGAGGCCTTTCTCTCTCCCTTCCATCCCTCAGTCCCTCTGTTCCTTCCTCCCTGCTCCAGCTCTCGGATGAGTACTGCTACTTCCCCAGTCCTCACCTTCTGTTCCTTAGATTCGGTGAGGCCCCACATCCTGCTGATAACCCTCTTTCTGTTGCTTATAACTCAGGAGGCTTACTGATCCAGGGTCGTACGGAAGCACACAGTAACTAAAGTGTACCCTGGGATGCTGTTCCCAAGCAAAGTTGGCATTGCCCTCAATTTTCTTGCCCTGGGATAAGAAACTGCAACAGGAGAGCAGAATAAAGATTTTTGTGCCTCTGGAGCTGTATACCTGGCAGGGATCTGAGGGCAGAGAGCAAGTGTGATGTTGTAAGGGAGATTCCCAGAGCCAGAGAAATAAGAACATCCACTGAGAATTTAGCAGAGTCCGGACTTCTCACTCAGCAAAAGATTCAGATTCTGATACTACCCAGAGCTGGCAAGAATGAGAGGAAACCTTCGCTTTTTCACCTTAGATAGGAGTGTAAACTTCGGGGAAAAATCTAGCAGTACCTAATAAATTTGGAGATGTCTCTTTTCTTTTTGTGTTAAAAAGTTTTTTTGTTTGTTTTGTTTTGTTAAGACAGGATCTTGCTCTGTCACCCAGGCTCCAGTGCAGTGGCATGATCCTAAGCTCACTGCAGCCTCAAATTCCTGGGCTCAAGCAATCCTCCTGCCTCAGCCTCCTAAGTAGCTGGGACTACAGGCATGTCCCACCACACCAAGATAATTTTTTAAAAACTTTTGTACAGATGGTCTCTCTCTGTTTCCCAGGCTGGTCTTGAACTCTGGCCTCAAGTGATCTTCCTGCCTCAGGGTCCCAAAGTGTTGGGATTATAGGCATGAGCCACCACGACTGGCCTGATGTCTCTTCTAAATGTAACAATTTAGCTTCTGGTATATACCCTAGAGCGGCAGTTCTCAAACTCTGGCGCACAACAGCAGCTCCTAGAGAGCTTGTTAGAATATAGGTCCCTGGGTTCCACCCCTGGTACGTCTGATTCAGTAGGTCTGAGAATTTGTATTTCTAACAGGTTCCCAGGTGATGCTGATGCTGCTGGTCCAGGGACCATGCTCTCAGAAACACTGACCTAGAGAAACCCTTGTATATGTGTAGAAAGAGACAAAGATATTTATTGCAGCATTATTTAATAGCAAACAACTGCAAAAAGCTAACCCTCTGCCAAAGGAATAGATAAATACATTGTGGTATATTCATACACCACAGCCAGATACCACATACACAACCCAGCCATGATAAATGACTGAGGTAGCTACAGTTATCATTGTGGGCACAGCTCAAAGACGGGGCTGAGAGGAAAAAAGCAAGGTGCACGATGAATCATATAGTAAGAGCCATTTATATAAAGTTCAAGGACCTGCAAAGCAATATTTTGTAGCATTTGTGACTTGTAAATATGCATTCAGAGCAGAAGACATGGGACTAACCAACACTGAATTCAGGATCATGGCACACAAATGTTTATTATATTATTTTAAATTCTTGACTGTAGGTTTGAAATAGTTCACCCTAAAAATGCATAAAGAACAAAAGAATTTAGCCTCTACTGTGTCCTGGGGCAGGAGGAGGCCTACATTCTTTCTTCTCCTTCTCCACTAGCTCCCCTCCCAAGCCCTGTCCCATCCTCAAGCTGAGGTCTTGAGCAGGGGAAGGTGACAAATTCTGAAGACGTGGGACCCGGGTTCCAAGAGCAGTGGAGACTCGTGCCTCTGCACACTTTGCCCCTCGTCCACTCTCCCCTCATCCTCAGTAGTGGAATCCTGATTTTTATTTTATTTTTTGAGGCAAGGTCTTGCTCTGCCCCCCAGGCTGAAGTGCAGTGGCACGACCTTGGCTCACTGCAGCCTAGACTTCCCGGGCTCAAGCAATCCTCCCTCCTCAGCCTCCCTAGTAGCTAGGACTACAGGCGTGCACCACCATGCCCAGCTAATCTGTGTATTTTTTTGTAGAGAAATGGTTTCACCATGTTTCCCAGGCCGGTCTAAAACTCCTGGGCTCAAGCAATCCTCCTGTCTCAGACTCCCAAAGTGCTGGGATTACAGGCCTGAGCCACAGCGCCCGGCTGGAACCCTGATATTAAGCGGAGTTTATGTCCTCTAAGACTATATTTCCCAGGCCCTTTGCAGCTATATGTGGTCATGTGCTTATGCCCTGACCAATGGGATATGAGCGGGCATGCCCTGTACAGCCCCTTAGGAAACGCTGGCACTGTTCTCCTCCCATTTTCCCTTATGCCTGCAGGAGTGCAGGCTTAAGAGTGGAGCCATGGCAGATCCAGGAGGCAGAGGGATCTTATAGAAAGACAGCTTGGCGTGGCTGTATTAACCCAGGGCTGCCCACCGCCGAGATTCTTTCCTGGGGAAGGGAGGAAAGCATTGCCCATCTTGTTTAGGTCACTGGGCCTTTCTGACGCACACATTGACTGATGATGTCGGGTTTTCCGCCATGCAAGGCAGCACAGAGTCATATCAGTGGAGACCAAGTTGCCCTGCGCTGTGCCTTGGCGCTGTGTAAGCCCACTGGGCCTGAGAGGCGACCCCACTACCAAAGAGCAAGGGGACCCTCAGTTGACTTGTGGTGATCTTTATCACCTGGCAGAATAGGACTTCAAATTACAAATTAATTTAAATTACAGAAAAACAAAGTAGCATTTCCTGAAAAACGAATCTGTGGACACAGACTCACACCCTGACATGGCGTTGCTGCCCATTTTGCAGCTGAGAAAAACCGAGAATCAAGGAGGTGAAACGACATGTCCAGGGTCACACAGAATTGGCAGGGGTGGACCCACATCACTCTGCCCCACGCTGCCCTCTTAGAGCATCTGTCCAGGGCCTCCTGTGTCAGGCAGAGCCTGGGGCCATGGGGGTGAGCCACGCATGGCCCCTACCCCTATAGGACAAACAGCCTGGTGGGAGGAATTGAAGCCCACAGAAGTGACAGCAAAGCAGGATGAGATAAGGGGTCAAGATGGAGACAAAGCAAAGCTCTTACCACTCTTAGAAGAGCTTAGAGGTCACTCAGCACAACTCCTGCAGTTTCACTGGGGACACTGAGGCCAGAAGGGGTGGAGCTTTCCCCAAAGTCAGGCAGCCAACTGCAAAGAAGCCTCAGTCCTCAGTTAGAGTTATAGCACTATTTGTTTTTTGTTTGTTTTATTGTTTGTTTGTTTGTTTGTTTGTTTGTTTTTGAGATGGAGCCTCACTCTGTTGCCCAGACTGGAGTGTAGTGGTGCGATCTCAGCTCACTGCAAACTCCGTCTCCCAGGTTCAAACGATTCTCGTGCCTCAGTCTCCCGAGCAGCTGGGATTACAGGCACCCCCACCAAGCCTAGCTAAATTTTTTTGTATTTTTAGTAGAGACGGGGTTTCGCCATGTTGGCCAGGCTGGTCTCGACCTCCTGACCTCAAAAAGCTACAGTATATGCTGAAGGCCAAAGAACCCAACAAGCCCCTCCCAGGCCTCATAGAGTGCTGGCCCACTGGATGGTGCTTAGCATCCTTCAATACCCTGGTCTTTGAAGGTCAATACCCTGGTCTTTGAAGGGTAGTGGCTGTTTCTGGCCTCATCCTCGACCCTGGCAGTTGGCTAGGATGCCCTCTTGTGCCTCTATGTTGTAATGGCACCTCTTGCTTTTTGACTTCCGGTAGCCTGTCTGGTGTTTCGTCATGTCTCTGTAACTCATTAGAAAAAGCAGTGCTACTGCCTCTCTCTACCCCCTGCCCTAAAGTCACGGGTGCAGGCGCTTGAATGTTCATTCTGTGAATCATCAGTGATGACAAGAGTCTGTAGAGTGCTGCTCTAGAAAGATCCAAACTTGAAGGTTCTTAAACTTGACTGTGATAACAATCTCCAGAGAGGCTTGTAAAGCGTCTGCTGTGGGCCAGGAATGTGCACTTTAACAAGTCCAAAATAAATGTAACAGAATTTTGGAAGTGTCTTCCCTGTTCACAGTTTCCTTTCCCTGAGAACTGGCCCCAGTAATCCTGTTTGTAGGGCATGACTCTGACCCTAACCAATGGCTGTCTCTTCCAGGATGGGCCAATTAGACCATCTCTCTCTGGGCTGATGGACAATGGTCTGCGCTGGCCTTGACCTAAGGCGATCTGCAGGTGGGAGGGTAGCCTGTTCCAATGCACATGTGTGAGAAGCCTTGGTGGGCACTAGCTAACAGAGGCTCTGCTCCTCTGCACTCTCTGGCATTGAGGTTCGTGTGCTGCCATATCCACCCAGATGCACTTAACCTGGGCTTGGCCAATCAGAGCATCAGGTCCCCTTGACTACAGTGGTTGTAGGTTCAGACACAGGCTCACATCCCCACAAGAGCTAGTCTTGGGGTTTTTGCTGAGGTCAATGGATGTGTGTGGAGATGTGTGTGTTTTCCTTTCCTCTCTTTGGATCTAGGAGGATATAGATCAGAGCTGGTGGGTGCCACATGAGGGAAGAGCCTCTGGAGAATGGAGGCCATACAGCAGAAACAGAGCCAAGAGACACAGACAAAGACCAAAAAGAGTCATCTGTGCATGTGGATCCACCCTGGGGATCCATAAATTCTCTTTTTTTCTCAGGTCACATTGAGTTAGGTTTTCTGTCACTTGCAACCAGATGATTCCCGACTAATACAGAAGTAGAGAGAGAAAAATAAATCAGATGCAGAGAGAGAAGCAGCAACCAGAACCTCACGGGCTCCTTGAGACAGAAAAAATTTCTGACTGCCTCCCAGTCCTTCCCAAAGCTTGGCTTGTCCCATAGCTCCAAATCCAGTGACTTTTTCACTTGAGCTGGTTTTCTTCTGTCAAATTACAATAAAAATGGATGTAGCTCACTAGACAGCGAACAGATCACGGTGGAGCAGCGCTGCTTTGGCGCGGATGAGGAACCTGGAGCACCACCTATCCAACCTGATCACCCTGGTGCTCCAGGGGACACTGAGGTTCCAGGGAGCACACTTTGAAACCCCCTGGGTCCTTCTACACATCTTGGCCTCTGTCGCTGTCCTCTCCCAGCTGAGATGCACATTTTAAAAGCATTCAAGCTCTAGTTGCAACCTCCCCAAGTTTTCTTGGGCCATCACAGTGGATGGCAGGCACCCCATGTAACTTCCATTAACAACTGTCTCCCATA